>NC_000010.11:83930974-84082489 GCF_000001405.40 Homo sapiens | reverse complement strand
AACCATTGCTCTTTTGAGGGGTGCCATCTCACTGGTATCACTGGAAAGTCCAGATTGCCTGACACACTGGTAACCAATTGTTGGGGGTCAGGTCCCAACAGATGTCTGGGCTTCAGGGAGTTAAGTCTATGCTGAAAGGTGGAAAGGGAGAAGAGGACATAAAAATGAATTTGTTTTTCCCTCCCACAAGGCTTTTGTGCGAAGATGGCCATGGGTGTCAAAGTCAGGGAATCCTTCCTCCTGGGAGCCAAGAGGAAGTCTCTCAAAACTAGAAGGGAAGGGTGTTTTCCTCACATCAATCCAGCTTCGGAGACATTCTATGAGTGACATATGCCTCTTCCCCCAAAAATAGTAATGAAGTGTTCTGTGTGCTAACAACATAGCTTAAAAAAAAAGTAAAACAAAATTCTGCATTTTTATAAAACTTGATAAAAATAGTATTTCAAATTGTACAGTCACCAGAAGTACACAGTTATAAAAAACGCACACATTTCACTTGGCATCTCCAGTACCTTCAGCTTTCTGTGCCTCGTCTCTTTTGGCATCCCCATTTTCTGCTGGGTTATTCCCCTCCTTGCCAGCATCAGCTTTTCTTTTCTTTTTTTTTTGAGACAGAGTCTCGCTCTGTTGCCCAAGCTGGAGTGCAGTGGCGCCATCTCGGCTAACTGCAACCTCTGCCTTCCAGGTTCAAGTGATTCTCCTGCCTCAGCCTCCCGAGTTGCTGGGATTACAGGCATGCACCACCATGCCCAACTAATTTGTGTATTTTTCAGTAGAGGTGGAGTTTCATCATGTTGGCCAGGCTGGTCTCGATCTCCTGACCTCAAGTGATCCGCCGGCCTCGGCCTCCCAACATGCCGGGGTTACAGGCGTAAGCCACCGCGCCTGGCTCCCTTTTTCCCTTTGGGTACCTTCTCTCCCTTCTTTGCAGGGGCATTTTTAGGCTTGGGCTCTGGCTTTGGAGGAGCAGGTTTGGCAGACAGCCTCATGGATCTTCTCTGTGGTTTGTCCTTCACCTTGGCTTTATCTCCTTTAGCATCACCTTCAGCCTTTCTCTTGGGCACGGTGGCGGCGACAGCGGTGGGACGTAGGCGCTGGGGCAGGATGCAGCAGGCTTTGGTCAGATCAGTGGTTGTTCTCGCCTCTTCTCACACTGCCCCTAGAATTTTATATTCAGCAAAATTATTCTTCTAAAATGAAGAAGAAATAATTTCTCAGGCCAATAAAAACTGAAAAGAAATTTTACCACCAGATACTCCTTGCAAGAAATGTTACAAGAAGTTTTCAGGCAGAAGGAAAATGATACAGGTGAGAAACTTGGATCTGTATAAAGAATGGAAGAGTGTTGGTAAAGGAATAAACAAAGGTAAAATAAAATAATTTATTTTCTTATTCTTAATTGATCTAAAAGAGAACTGTTCGAAGTAATAATAGTAACAGTGTATTGGGTGATGATTAGCATGTAGATAATTAAAATGAATGAATGCAATGTCACAAGGGGCTAGAGAGAAATTGGGACCAGGTGCTTGTTATCAGGTGCCTGCCCTACATGTGAAGAGTTATGATGTTATTTGAGAATAGATTTAGATTAGTTAAGAACATATATATGATATACTTTAGAGGTAGAAAATTTTAAAAGAAGTATAATGGGTGCACTAGGAAGATAAAATTCAATCATATCAAATACTCAAAACCAGAGAAGGAAGGAAGGAAAAGGAGGGCAAAAAAAAAAAAAAGAAAGAACAGATGGGTGCGGTGGCATGCAGTTGTAGTCCCAGCTACTTAGGTGACTGAGGTGGGAGAATCATTAGAGCCCAGGAGTTTGAGACTAACCTGGGTAACACAGTGAGACACCATCACCTTTTTTTTTTTTTTAAAAAGAAAGAACAAATGCAACCAATAGATAGCAGTGGCAAACGTGGTAGATACTAATCTAACTCTATTAATAATCACCTTAAATATAGGTGGTTTCAATACACTGATAGGAAGACCGATTTTCAGACTGGAGAGTGAATTGAAAAAATAAGACTCAACTGTATGTTGTCTACAGGTATTCCACTTCAAATACAAAGACCCAGGTTAAAAGTCAAAGTAAACATATGGAGATTAATATTGAAAGGTCTTTGTGAACGTTTGCAAAAGGTGGGGGGACATATGTCAGAAGGCAGATAAGTCCAGCCTAGATGATTTAACATTTTTGTGTAGCGGCGCAGGAATCCAGAGGGTAATTTGTTCTCACGCTGATGACTGGAAACTGTCATTTCTTATAGTGGAGGTTTTACTGGTTTCAGTGTTGCTAGAGCAGCAGCTCTCAAAATGGTCCGTGGGCCAGCAGTATTTGCATCACCTGGGAACTTGTTAGAAATGTAGATTCTTGGGCTCCAACCCAGGCCTACTAAAGTGGAAGCTCTGGGGGTGGGGCCCACAGTCTGTGTTTACTAAGCCTTCCAGGTGATTCTGATGCACACTCAGGTGTGAAAACCTCTGCTGTAGAGCACGCTTATGTGAGTGTGTTCATGCACCACATTCTGGGCATTTTCAAGAATAGGTATTCATTCTCAGACATATGCTCCCTGCTACTGCTTCCTATGTAGGGATGCATTCATTTTCCTAGTCAAACTGGAACAATGTCATATGTGTCTGAAAATCCCTTAAACTTTGCTTCCCAAGGGTCGGTTCAAGACGAGAAGCATCTGTATCTCCTGCGGGCTTGTAAAGAAGGCAGAATCGTGGGCCCATCCCAGATCTACTTAAGCAGAATCTTCATTTTTGACATGATCCTGTAAGTTTATTGTAATCTAATTAAGCAATTAGGTAGTGAAAATGCTCATTAAGAAGAACAAGCATTGAAAATTGAGTAAAGAAAATAAAACAACCACATTTATTGTCATAAAAGGGGTTCTGGACTGGAGTTTAGGACCACTGGGGCAAAGCTGAAGGGTCTAAGATGCCTCCTGAAAAAGAAAGCCAAAGGAAGTTTCCTTATAAAAGATGACAACAAAGAAGTCTTCAACCAGCCATAGCCAAGAGGATGTGATTGGGAGGGCTTTGAAGAGTTTGTCACTCCATTGTGTCTGAGTCTTTCTAAAAATTATTTTATTTCTAAAAATTTCATTATTATTATTTCAGAGCAGAGTCTCACTCTGTCACCTAGGCTGGAGTGCAGTGGTGTGATCATAGCTCACTGCAGCCTCAAGTTCCTGGGCTCAACTAAGCCTCCTGCCTCAGCCTCCTGAGTAGTTGGGACTACGGGTGTGCACCACCACACGTGGCCAATTTTTCTATAGAAACAGGGTCTCACTATGTTGCCTAAGCTAATCTTGAACCCTTGGCCTCAAGCAATCCTCCTGCCTTGGCCTCCCAAAGTGTTGGGACACAGGCATGAGCCACTTTGCCTTGACTGGGTCCAATTCTTTACTCCTTGGATTTCATACAATAATTGGGTGTCCCTTGGAGAAGGGGTGTGCTGTAGATAAAACCTGGCAAGGCTGTTTCTCTAAGACATGAGGGCATCAATCATATGGCTTTGACACTTCTGCAACAGAGCATAAGATGAAGGAAGGGAGACTGCTGTGCAGTGTTGATATCTTGGGGGTTCCAGGTTTCAGTTGTAGCAGGAGAAGGACACATCCTGGCAACATCTGGCAGGGAATAGAGAAACAATAGCAGCACTCAGATGAAGCTGACATGTTCATAAATACACCTGAGATATACCTGGGGACTCCAAAAAACACTTAAAGGGCACTTCAGGGGCATGACCCAATGAAAAATGAGTCATTTCTGCTAATCTCACCACATGAGCTCCCATAGGCTATGATGGGCTGGACAAAGTCCTATTCACTTTCAAAGACAGTTTTGTGCCTCTCTCATTTGGATCATTCCTTCTACTAGCTCTTTGTTTAGGCTGCAGAAGCATTTAGAACCCACACAAGAAAAAGCCTAGGGAGCAATATTATGTAGGAGAGTTTCCTTTGCCCCATGGTTTGATCTGTTTCTCTGCTTGATGTTCTTTATTTTGGGAAATGAGTGGCCTTAACATCCCCTTGAAATAGGTAATGCAGGTCAGCATATTTGTTAAGTTTTTTTGTACCTTCCAGGCCTTGTCCTCCTTGAATAATACAGTCTGAAATCAGCTGAAGTCCAAACTACCATATTCTCAGCTTTTATCTCATACCTTACAAGTTTCCCCCTAAGAATACTGTGTTTGCTTTCCAGAACTTTGGTTGTGTATTTTATTTCCTCTATGGAAAGATCCAGGTAAAGTTTAAATTACAGTTAATTGATAGAGGCCAAGGAGGCATACAGAAAAATTTAATTAGTTTCCAAGCAAAGTAATGTGTATTAATCTGACTTTCCACACTAGAGACTGCATATCTTAAGGTGCACACAAAATGTTCTGTTTAAACATCCAGGGTTTGAGTCATTTTCCTAGCTTATTTTCTGTCTAGACAGAGAAGAGAATCAAATCCCTTTTTAAATTATAAAATTGTTCTGTGATTAGTTATCATGCCTGTCTCCTGAGGCATGCACGGAACTTCATAAATAGTTAACACCTGTTAACGCTTGATTATTCACAGAGCAGATGCTGTTGGTGTCCCCTGCTACAGGCCCTCAGTCCTTCTCTGCTTTTGGCTGTAGTGTGGTGGGAGCTTTCAGGCAGACCACCTCCCACCACAAGCACTCATGGATCTCAGCTCTTTCTGCCTTAAGTATTTATTCAGTGTGCAAGGAGCTCACTCAGCCCACGTGCTCTAGCCTGGAAGTGTCAGGGAGTTGAGGCCTCCACCATAATCAACAACCACTGGGACAGGTGTCCATGGATAAAGGCCCTAGCCCCAGCCCTCACCCTCTCAATGATTTTGAGACCAATGGTTTTTTTTTTTTTGAGACAGGGTCTTGCAGTGTCACCCAGGCTGGAGTGCTGCAGTATAATTTCAGTTCACCTCTGCCTCCCAGGCTCAGGTGATCCTACCACCTCACCCTCCTGAGTATATGGGCCTACAGGTGTGTGCCACCATGCCTGGCTAAATTTGAGACAGAGTTTCTTCATGTTCATGTTGCCCAGGCTGGTCTTCAACTCCTGGGCTCAAGCAATCTGCCTGCCTCGGCCTCTGAAAGTGCTGGGAATACAGAAGTCAGCCACCACACCCAGCCCCTGGACCAATGATTCTGAGCTGCATTTCTGCCTGGCTCCCCTAATAGGACTGAACCTAATCTCTCATGACAGTCACCAGCTAATCAAGCACCCTTCATTGGTTCTCCCTCCTTCCCTATCTCACTCCTCTCTTTTTTCTCTCTCTGGCTTCCTGGGATCACATCTCAAATAAACCACCTGACCCATGTGTATGGTAGACACATGTGTATGGTAGATGCACCTGAGAGGGATAACTTAAGTATACACTGAGAATGGCAGACACACCTGAATGTGTGTTGGGAGTTCCAAGTGTGGCCAACCCGGCCATTCATTCCTTATCTATGAGGAACATCTGAGCTGCTGGCCCATCCCCCTCCTGAGGAACGGGGGACATACAGGGGATTGAGGCCCTTTGTTTTTGGTTAAATGAATGTTGCCAGGTGGAGGTTGTTAGGGGGAAGAGTGTTAAGTGAAAATTCTATATAAACTGCTCACTTTCCACAGGCAGCAGCCACTCTCCCGTTCAGCCTGCAGCCCCTGGGCTGCCTTGTGTGTAAGTTCCTCTCAATAAACCCTGTGTCTCTCTTGCTGGCTTTTGATCTTCTCCTCAGCCTCTCAAACTTGGTGCTGCCCCTAGTGGAGTTAGCAGGGGTCTGGCATAACACCATGTCCTTGACTCAGGTTCCACTTCTGGGGAACTTAAATGAAGAAGAGCTGACTAATTTGCAGGGATATAGGCATCTCTAACATAAGCTTATGTTTGATTAGTACTTGCCCGTAACTATTTATTATCCAAGCAGTACCTTTGAGAGCCCACCATGTGCTAGGCAAAAACTTTAGGACTGAACAAAACAAAGAATCCCTGCCCTAATGAACCTTCCACATACCTCTTGTATCTCCAAATAACCATATGAGTTAGATGTTTTTTACCCCCATTTCATGTATAACTAATGTGATTGAAGATTTCTGGCTCTTTGGGAATATAAACATAAAACAATTTTGTTTTTCCGAACACTGCTACATTTTCTCTGTGCTAAGAGTGTCTTCAGATTTCTACCCAGTGTTATGTTTCCAGCCACTTTTAGTGATGAAACAATCTCATTCCAGTTTTGTGACTCACTCCCATGCATTTTAAAACTCTAGCCTCATGATCAGTTCTAGTTTCCTCCTCTTAGTCTTGGCTGCATATTGGTAACATCTGCAGAGCTTTACAAGTCCTGACACTTGGGCCCTCCTGCCAGAGATGCTGGGGTTTAAGGCTTCAGGTGACTCTAATGTGATCCAAGATTGAGAGCCCTGCTCAAGGGGTCTGGAGGAGCAAGTGGGGAAGAGACGGCTTTCACTTATCTTTCTCCCACCCTGTTCCTCTGGTTGCTTCCCTAATACTGGAGCTCATTTCTCTCCTTGACACTGGTCACCACCATGGATTTTGCCTGTTGTTCTCTGACTCAGAGAGGATGGGCAGTGTCCAACAGGCCCACTGATGTCTAGCAGTGCCTCTGGGAGGGTGCTTGTCTGACTTTCCTGCCCTTGAGCTAACCTAAAGCTAAACTGTGGCTTCCAGTTTTATCCAACATCCTTGAGAGCTCTAAGCTCAACCAGTCTCCATAGCCTAAACCTGGGGTTTCTGGACATGGCCAAGCCTATTCTCTGTATCTCTTGGGGCTCAAACTCTAGAGCCCATTCCCAGAACCCTTTTCTGCCTTTTTATCCTGCTAGGAGTCCCAGCGCTCAGGAAAACACCAAGGTCAGTGATGTAAATCTCCCCCTTGTGGGCTCCTTCACCTTGCGGGCTTTGTGGGGAACTCTCCTGGGGCCTCCCTCTCTTCCAGGTTGGCTAAGGAAAAGTATGTCTGTCACCGTAAGCATTCTTTTGCTCCTTTCCCCACTTGGAGACCTTGTTCTCCCTCCCTCTCCTGGGCACATGAGAGGGGGGTTGGTGACTGTGGAAGTGCAGTTCTAGCTGAAATGACCCCTCTCAGCAAACCTTGAATTGGTTCCTGCTGGTGAGTTTTGAAGAAGGGCACTTGCTCTCTTTGGATTTTAGCCATGGGCTTTGGTTGCCAGTTCCAGGAAAATAATGTCCCACAGAGCCCCTCATTCCATCCTGTTACATCCTGGTGAGGCACAGCGAGCAGAACTGACAGATCCAAGGTTACTGTCAAGCTCAACAGCTCTACTAGCAGACCTGAACCCTAAGCCCAGTTTCTTTCCCCTTTGTTCTCCAACTGGGGTGTGGAGATCCCAGGGCCAAATGGGGCAGAGGTGAAGCTAATGTTCCTTCTTGAAATATCAATTTTTGAGGAAAAGTAATTGTTTTTGTATTTAAACAAATACAAGTATTATAAAATAGGATGTAACATTTTGATCAATTTGAAAGAAATCATGAGGAATTTTCTGCTGTGGCAGCTTCTCTGAACTCTACCATCTGTGTGGGTGATCTGTTGGGGGAAGTAAGGCTTGATCCTATTTACTCTCCTCTACACCTACAATGAGAAAGTTTTAGAAGCGATACTTTATAGTATAGTGTTTAGCAGCTCCTCCAGTGCTGGGAAACGCCAGTTCACATGGCCTTCATTTCTTGGGAGCACTTAAAAAAACTCCACTATGAAACGAGTGTGTGTGTGTAGGTGTGTGGTGGTTTGTGGTTGTGGCAAACAACTTAGCTGATAGAGATAAGATTGAACAAAAGGGATTCTAAAGCCCTCAGGTCCAGAAATATTCCCTTACAGTGAAGTTTTCTTCTGAGGAGTTCCTGATATTAACTCATACCAAATACAATGTATATGTCATTTATACCTTTACAACTTGGAGAGAGGAGAGGGTGGACATGATAATCATGAACTCATTTATAATCAGCTTAAAAATACATTATCTAGGCTGGGCGTGGTGGCTCATGCCTGTAATCCCAGCACTTTGGGAGGCCAAGGTGGGCAGACCACTTGAGGTCAAGAGTTCGAGACCAGCCTGGCCAACATGATGAAACCTTGTCTCTACTAAAAATATAAAACAACCAAGCATGGTGGCAAAAGGCTTAGGCAGGAGAATCGCTTGAATCCAGGAAGCAGAGGTTGCAGTGAACTGAGATTGTGCTACTGCACTCCAACCTGGGTGACAGTGAGACTGTCTCAAAAACAAACAAACACAACACACACAAAAAACCAACATTATCTTTTAGGGATGGTAGCAGATTTTCCTGTTTGTTTTGCTTTGCCTAGGCTGGGAATGGCAAATATCTTTTAATTTTCTGGTCAGCTGTGTTAGGCAGTCACTGCCTGGAGAGCTGTGTTGAGAAATTCTGAGGCCATAAACAGGAATAACAAGAAGGTAATTAGTGTTAGATTAATTACCAAAGTCAGCGGCTTAGGAGGGGAGAACAGCTGTACTTCTAAAACTTATTTGCCAAACCTGTCCCAGTATTTTAAATTTAAAAGCATTTGTTTATTTATTTTTATTTTTTGATACATTTTATTTGTACATATTTATGGGGTACATGTGATATTTTGTTACACGCATAGAATGTGTGACCATCAAGACAGAATATTTGGGTGATATACATCACCTGAGTATTGATCATTTCTGTGTTGGGTACATTTCAAGACCTCTTTTCTAGCTATTTTGAAATATCCAATACATTACTGTTAACTGTGGTCACCTAACTCTCTTGTCAAAAGTTAGAACTTATTCCTTCTATCTAACTGTATTCTTATACCCATTAACCAACCTCTGTTCATCCCCTTTTCCCATCCACGCACACTTCTCAGCCTTTGGTGTCTATAATTCCACTCCCTACCTCTGTGAGATCAACTTTTTTTAGCTCTTACATATGAGTGAGAACATGGGGTATTTGTCTTTCTGAGCCTGGTTTCATTTAACATAATGACCTTCAGTTATTTTGCAAATGATGTTATTTCATTCTTTGTTATGGATGAAGAACATTCCATTGTGTACATATACCACATTTTCTTTATCCGTTCATCTGTTGATGGACACCTAGGTTGATTGCATACATTGGCTATTGTGAATAGTGCTGCAATAGACATGGGACTGCAGGTATCCTTTTGATATATTTCTTTTTCTTTGGATAAATACCCAGTCATCGGATTGCAGGATCGTATGATAGTTCTATTTTTAGTTTTTTGAGAAATCTCCTTACTGTTTTCTATGGAGGTTGTACTAATCTACACTCCTGCTAATAGTGTATGAACTCCCTTTCCCCACATCTTTGTCAACATTTGTTATTTTTGTCTTTTTAATAATAGTCATTCTAACTGGGATAAGATGATACCTCATTGTGATTCTGATTTGCATTTCCCTGATGATTAGTTATGTTGAGCATATTTTCATATACCTGCTGGCCATTTATATGTCTTTTGAGAAATGTCTATTCATGTCCTCCTCCCGTTTTGATTGGGATTTAAAAAAAAATTACTGTTGTTTGAGTACCTTGTATATTCTGGCTATTAATTTCCTCTCAGATGAGTAGTTGGCAAATATTTTTTTCCCATTTAATAAGTTGTCTTTTCTGCAGAAAAGGCCTTTGACAAAATTCAACAACCCTTCATGCTAAAAACTCTCAATAAATTAGGTATTGACGGGACATATCTCAAAATAATAAGAGCTATCTATGACAAACCCACAGCCAATATCATACTGAATGGGCAAAAACTGGAAGCATTCCCTTTGAAAACTGGCACAAGACAGGGATGCCCTCTCTCAAAACTCCTATTCAACATAGTGTTGGAAGTTCTGGCCAGGGCAATTAGGCAGGAGAAGGAAATAAAGGGTATTCAATTAGGAAAAGAGGAAGTCAAATTGTCCCTGTTTGCAGATGACATGATTGTATATCTAGAAAACCCCATTGTCTCAGCCCAAAATCTCCTTAAGCTGATAAGCAACTTCAGCAAAGTCTCAGGACACAAAATCAATGTACAAAAATCACAAGCATTCTTATACACCAATAACAGACAAACAGAGAGCCAAATCATGAGTGAATTCCCATTCACAATTGCTTCAAAGAGAATAAAATACCTAGGAATCCAACTTACAAGGGACGTGAAGGACCTCTTCAAGGAGAATTACAAACCACTGCTCAAGGAAATAAAAGAGGATACAAACAAATGGAAGAACATTCCATGCTCATGGGTAGGAAGAATCAATATCATGAAAATGGCCATACTGCCCAAGGTAATTTACAGATTCAATGCCATCCCCATCAATCTACCAATGACTTTCTTCACAGAATTGGAAAAAACTACTTTAAAGTTCATATGGAACCAAAAAAGAGCCCGCATCGCCAAATCAATCCTAAGCCAAAGGAACAAAGCTGGAGGCATCACGCTACCTGACTTCAAACTATACTACAAGGCTACAGTAACTAAAACAGCATGGTACTGGTACCAAAACAGAGATATAGATCAATGGAACAGAACAGAGCCCTCAGAAATAATGCCGCATATCTACAACTGTCTGATCTTTGACAAACCTGAGAAAAATAAGCAATGGGGAAAGGATTCCCTATTTAATAAATGGTGCTGGGAAAACTGGCTAGCCATAGGTAGAAAGCTGAAACTGGATCCCTTCCTTACACCTTATACAAAAATCAATTCAAGATGGATTAAAGACTTAAATGTTAGACCTAAAACCATAAAAATCCTAGAAGAAAACCTAGACATTACCATTCAGGACATAGGCATGGGCAAAGACTTCATGTCTAAAACACCAAAAGCAATGACAACAAAAGCCAAAATTGACAAATGGGATCTAATTAAACTAAAGAGCTTCTGCACAGCAAAAGAAACTACCATCAGAGTGAACAGGCAACCCACAAAATGGGAGAAAATTTTTGCAACCTACTCATCTGACAAAGGGCTAATATCCAGAATCTACAATGAACTCCAACAAATTTACAAGAAAAAAACAAACAACCCCATCAAAAAGTGGGTGAAGGACATGAACAGACACTTCTCAAAAGAAGACATTTATGCAGCCAAAAAACACATGAAAAAATGCTCACCATCACTGGCCATCAGAGAAATGCAAATCAAAACCACAATGAGATACCATCTCACACCAGTTAGAATGGCAATCATTAAAAAGTCAGGAAACAACAGGTGCTGGAGAGGATGTGGAGAAATAGGAACACTTTTACACTGTTGGTGGGACTGTAAACTAGTTTAACCATTGTGGAAGTCAGTGTGGCGATTCCTCAGGGATCTAGAACTAGAAATACCATTTGACCCAGCCATCCCATTACTGGGTATATACCCAAAGGACTATAAATCATGCTGCTATAAAGACACATGCACACGTATGTTTATTGTGGCATTATTCACAATAGCAAAGACTTGGAACCAACCCAAATGTCCAACAATGATAGACTGGATCAAGAAAATGTGGCACATATACACCATGGAATACTATGCAGCCATAAAAAATGATGAGTTCATGTCCTTTGTAGGGACATGGATGAAATTGGAAATCATCATTCTCAGTAAACTATCGCATATTCTCACTCATAGGTGGCAAATGAACAATGAGAACACATGGACACAGGAAGGGGAACATCACACTCTGGGGACTGTTGTGGGGTGGGGGGAGGGGGGAGGGATAGCATTGGGAGATATACCTAATGCTAGATGATGAGTTAGTGGGTGCAGTGCACCAGCATGGCACATGTATACATATGTAACTAACCTGCCCATTGTGCACATGTACCCTAAAACTTAAAGTATAATAATAATAAAAAATAATAAAAAAAATAAGTTGTCTTTTCATGGATTGTTTCATTTGCTGTGCAGGAGCTTGTAGTTTAATATAGTCCCATTTGCTGATTTTTGTCTTTGTTGCCATGCTTTTGTGGTCTTAGCCATAAAATCTTTGCCTAGACCAATGTCCTGAGGAGTTTCCCTATGCTTGCTTCTAGCAGTTTCAGATCTTATGTTTAAGTCTTTAATCCATCTTGAGTTGATTTTTGTGTATGGTGAGAGATATTGGTCCAATTTTATGCTGCATATGGTTATTCAGTTTTCCCAGAACCGTTTATTGAAGAATTTGTCATTTCCCCACTGACACATTCTTGACAGATGCTCTTGACAGCTTTGTTGAAGATCATTTGGTTGTAAATATGTGGATGTATATCTGAGTTCTCTATTCTGTTCCATTGCTCTATGTGTCTATTTTTATACCAATACCATGCTGTTCTAGTTACTATAACCTTATAATATATTTTAAGTCAGGTAGTGTGATACCCCCAGTTTTGTTCTTTTTGCCTAGGATTACCTTGGCTATTTGGGCTGTTTTTGCTTCCATACAAATTTTAGGATTTTTCAAAAAAAATTTTTGTGAACAATGACATTGGTATTTTGATAGGGATTGCTTTGAATCTGTAGATTGCTTTTGGTAGTATTTGTCCCAGTTTGTTTGTTTGTTTGTTTGTTTTTGTTTTTATTTTTATTTATTTGTTTGTTTGTTTTCCCCTGAGACGGAGTCTTGCTCTGTCACCCAGGCTGGAATACAGTGGTGCGATCTCAGCTCACTGCAAGCTCCGCTTCCCGGGTTCATGCCATTCTCCTGCCTCAGCCTCCCGAGTAGCTGAGACTACAGGTGCCTGCTGCCATGCCCGGCTAATTTTTTTGTAATTTAAGTAGACACGGTGTTTCGCTGTGTTAGGCAAGATGGTCTCGATCTCCTGACCTCGTGATCCACCCGCCTCGGCCTCCCAAAGTGCTGGTATTACAGGCGTGAGCCACCGTGCCCGGCTGGTATTTGGCCCAGTTTTATGTTGACTGGTTACACTCACCAGAGGAGACAACCCGGAAGTCTTCCAGAGATTTTATTTTGCTTAGGTTTTGCCATTCAGGTTCTTGGTTGCAAATTGTAGGAACTTAGAAAACAAAAATGTAAGGATAATGGGTACTTCACTGAATCGCTGCAAAGACTAGAAAATCCAGCTCAGAAAATGGGCAGCAACTGTGGGGAAGCTGGGTACAGCCATGGGCAGACGCAGGCAGAAGCTGCTTCCTTTTCCAGTACTCCCAGGGGCCTCCACTGCCTCCAAACATACCACTGCCCTGGGATGCTCCCTGCCTGTGCTCTTGACCTTTTTTTTTTTTTTTTTTTTTTTTTTTGTTTGTTTGGAGACAGGGTTTCACTCCCTCACTCCCGTCACCCAGGCTGTAGCGCAGT
This sequence comes from Homo sapiens, assembly GCF_000001405.40. Taxonomy (NCBI): domain Eukaryota; kingdom Metazoa; phylum Chordata; class Mammalia; order Primates; family Hominidae; genus Homo; species Homo sapiens. The sequence continues at coordinate 84,069,168 of NC_000010.11, read as the reverse complement.
AGCATGCTCTTGGCTCACTACAACCTCTGCCTCCTGGGCTTAAGCCATCCTCCTGCCTCAGTCTCCCAAGTAATGGGAACTACAGGTGTGCACCACCATGCCCCGCTAATTTTTGCATTTTTAGCAGAGATGGGGTTTTGCCATATTGCCCAGGCTGGTCTCAAACTCCTGACTTCAAGTGATCTGCCCGCCTTGGCTTCACAAAGTGCTGGTATTACAGGCACGAGCCACTGTGCCTGGCCCTCTTGAAATTTTAAGAGTTTCAGCTTCTTATGAAAATGTTTAAACATATACAATAGCAGAATAAAATGAAACTCCATGTATCCTGTGTTAGTCCATTTTGCATTGCTATAAAAGAATATCCAAGACTGGGTAATTTATAAAGAAAATAAGTTTATTTGACTCATGTTTCTACAGGCTGTGCAAGCATGGCACCCACATCTGCTCAGCTTCTCGTGAGGCCCTCAGGAAGCTTTTAGTCTTGGTGGAGGGGAAGGGGAACTGGAGCGTCACATGACGAGAAAGGGAGCAAGAGAGTGAGGAGGAGGTATCAGGTCCTTTTTAACAAGCAGGTCTTGAGGCAACTAATAGAGCAAGAACTCACTCATTATTGTTGGGAGAGCACCAAACCATTCATGAGGGATCCACTCCCATAACCCAAACCCCTTCTGTTAAGCCCCTTCCTGCAACAATGAGGATCACCTTCAACATGAGATTTGGAGGGACAAACATCCAAACCAGATCATATCCATTCTCAGATTCCTTGTTAGAATTCTGCCAATCTTATTTAATTTATTCCCCACTGAAACATTAATTTTGTTTTTTGCTGGAGTTATTTTGAAGCAATCTCAGACATCACATTAAGTTGCTTGTAGATATTTTATATGTATATATATATAAATTTATTTTTTTACATTTATTTTTAAAAATGGAGTCAAGGTTTCCCTGTGTTGTGTAGGCTGGTCTTGAATTCCTAGCCTCAAGTGATCCTCCTGCCTTGGCCTCCCAGAGTGCTGTGAGCCACTGTGCCTGGGCTACACTTTTTTCTATCAGATAGGGACTTAAAAAAACATATGCATGATACTGTTATCTCAACTTGAGATGCTGCCTTTTCTATAAATTTCTGTTGGACTCTAGACATTAGTGAATCCTAATAATTTTTGTTTCTCTCCAGGCTTTTTTATTACTTCCTCAAGGTTCATCATCACATGCTTACACCTGAGTAGCCAGGGAATTGGGAGAGGAAATGTCTGCTCCTTTGGTATTCATGATGGGACATAGGGCTATGTCACCCAACTCTCTTGGAATTACTTTCAAATAAGAAGGGTATACACATTCTGGGCACACAAAATGGCAGATAAGGCATAATAGAGATTGCAGTGTGCTCACAACTGTCAAGTGAGTAGCCACTTGTCAAAATTGCTGTTGATATTTTCTGATTGCTTTGGATTTATAGCCTAGCATTCTTCTATAACTTTGTAAAAATACTTTGATGATTATTAAGCTTTGATTTAAAGTGATATTGTTTCCACCTGGATGGAAGGCTATTTTCTTCTTGGGAGGTTTATTAGCAATTACATATGTAAATCTATGCATACTTTTTTTTGATACATTCTCTTGGGAAAAATTACACTGAAAAATTATTAATGTACATGAAAACAACAGTTAAAATTCCCAGAGGATAATTGAGGCATTGAATATCTTTACATATTTTAAAGCATTCACCAGTATCACTTGAGGGTGGCAGGGTTAGAGGAAGAATATTAAAATAATAATTTGCCCTGCTGAGATATTTTAAAAATTTGAGCAATTAATGTCTGTATATTATACCGAAAGAAGAATTAAGGTTGTGGACTACAGAATTTGCTGCAGTAAGGTGAAGATAACTTCAGGATCTTAGTTCTACCCGGTAGGCTCCTTACTTAATATAAATTTACAATGTTTCCTTGTATAACAAGTGGGATGCATAATTATTTTTTGCCTTCTTGTTTTGAATCAAATATTCATCACCATTTGCACTTTCTATTGTCTTGATTCTTTTTAATCTTCCTCCGGTCAGCAGACATCATGAATGATCATCACAATCTAATTTCTAACATCAGCCATCACTGGGGATGAAATGTATCAAAGTAAACTTAACAAATATCTTTTGATTAGTATTGATTATTGATCTATCCACTATGGAAGTGGAAGTCAATGCAAGGTACTCCAACCTCAAGGGGAACAGGAAGGTGAGATGCAAGATAAAGGAACCAGAAAGGAGCTAAAGTAGAAAGCTCTTAGTTTACAGAAGAGAAAGATTATGATTACTTTTCCTGGAGACATTAAGAAAGCTTTCTAAGATAGGTGGCACTTTTTTTTTTTTTTTTTTTTTTTTGAGACAGAGTCTCACTCTGTTGCCCAGGCTGGAGTGCAGTGGTGCAATCTCAGCTCAGTGCAACCTCCGCCTCCTGGTTCAAGCAATTCTCACATCTCAGCTGTCTGAGTATCTGGGATTACAGGCACACACCACCACTCCTGGCTAATTTTTTTCTATTTTTAGTACAGATGGAGTTTAGCCATGTTGGCCAGGCTGGTCTCCAACTCCTGGCCTCAAATGCTGGTCCCACTTCGGCCTCCCAAAGTGTGAGGTGAGCCAGCACAGGTGTGAGCCACTGCACCTGGCTGGGTAGGTAGCATTTGAGCAGGACTTTCAATATTAGAGAGGACCCTGACACACAGCTACAGTAGTTTAAGTGCAGTTCTAGGTGGAGGAAGCACTTGCAGGAAGGTGTGGGCAGGCACTAGGAATTACCCAGTTTAACTGGTGTGTGTGAGGGAGAGACAGAGAGAAAACAGTGTCTCCATCAGAAAATAAGACGTTTCAGAGTTTATTGGCAAATCATATAAGAAACAAAATGATTCAGAGTTAGTAATAAATACCATACAGGGAAAAAGTCATTGTCATATAAGATGTTTCTATTTGGAGTACCCTAGTAGAGATGCATCCTCGCTTGGCCTCAGTTTCACAGGGCAGGCAGCCTCAGCGGGCATAAGCAGGTGCAGGGAGGTGTCCCTCCTGCCTGAGGAACTGCCTCAGGGCCAGTGCTCACAGGCTATCCCACACCCTTACCCGCATTTCTGTTAGTCTTACATACATCCTTTTCCTGGCTGTGACTCTCTGGCCTGCCTTTCATGGGTCGAGGAGGGGTTTTACCAGAACTGAGTCACAGTTCTTTTCAGTTGGATCTTGCTCGTGGTTTTGTGCTACAATCAGTGAAAGCAGGTCAAGAGCTCAGCAGGTGGACACCTTTCCGTGCCATGAGAGTGAGCAAGCTGGTATGGGAGGCAGGCTGCCTGGGTTTACATATCAGCTCCACTGCTGAGAATCCCTGTGATTTTAGGCAAGTTGCTTATTCTCTCTCTGTCTCAGTGTTTCTCCATCTGCAAAATGGTGGTGGCCATACTGTTTTCTCACAGGGTTGTCCTATGTGTGAAGTTAGCCAATAGGTGTACAGTGCTTAGAACGGTATCTACTTAGCTTTAGCTCTTACTGGTCCACGAGGGCCTGTGGAGGGAGCTTGGGTGGGGATGGGGCACTAGGGCTGATTTGTGCATGGCCTTGAGTGCTGGGTAGGAATCCTAGACCAGAACCCTACTAGCTGGAATACCCCAGTTTGGCCTGGATGAAGGTCTTCATTTCTGAGCTCAAAATCATTTTGAAGAGAATAAGAGTGAAATTAACCCATTTCTAGTTGCTGCAGGGGAACTGGGTCCGTCTTCTGGTTTTAAGGCAAGCCTGGAAGAGGTCTTTGGGGGTAGATTAAATGTGCCTATGTGATATGGTTTGGCTGTGTCCCCACCCAAATCTCATCTTGAATTGTAACTCCCATAATTCCCACGTGTTGTGGGAGGAACTCAATGGGAGGTAATTGAAATCATGGGGGTGGATCTTTCCCATGCTGTTCCTCATGATAGCGAATAAGTCTCACAAGATCTGATGGTTTTATAAAGGGGACTTTCCCTGCACAAGCTCTCCTCTCTTGTCTGCCGCCACGTGAGACGTGCCTTTCACCTTCCACCATAACTGTGAGGCCACCTCAGCCACATGGAACTGTGACTCCATTAAACCTCTTTTCTTTTGTAAATTGCTCAGTCTCAGGTATGTCTTTTTTTTTAGGGGGATGGAGTTTTGCTCTTGTTGCCCAGGCTGGAGTGCAATGGTGCGATCTCAGCTTGCTGCAACCTCCACCTCCTGGGTTCAAGCGATTCTTCTGCCTCAGCCTCCTGAGTAGCTGGGATTACAGGCATGCGCCTCCATGTCCAGCTAATTTTTGTATTTTTAGTAGAGATGGTGTTTCACCATGTTGGTTAGGCTGGTCTTGAACTCTTGATCTCAGATGATCCGCCTGCCTCAGCCTCCCAAAGTGCTGGGATTACAGGTGTGAGCCACCATGCCCTGCTAGTCTCAGGTATGTCTTTATCAGCACCATGAAAATGGACTAATACACTATGCCTGCATTAAGCCTGCCACACAACTAAAAGATATGCGATTGAATCAGGTGTGTGCAGCCCCTACCAGAGGTATGGACTCATCCCTGCACCCTGCAGCTACATACCATTCTAAGGCAGGTCACACAAGAGCAACAAGGGATTATGGTACACAAACGTGTATAGAGGGAGATATGCTTGTCAAGATAAAAAAACCAAGGCCATGGTTATAGGAGTGAAAAATGAAAATTCAGCTGACTATAAATCTTCAAGCAATTTTGTGCATCTTGAAAGCGTTGCCTCTGTCAATACAAAGTCAAATGTTATTGTTGGTTTCGAACATGTTTTGCAGAGCAGAAAACGTAAAAGTAAGATTACCTAAGAGAAAATCAGTGCCCTGGAACCTGATCAGCTTCCAATTGCACTGCAGCTCATAGGCCAGACCAGGCTGGAGCCAGGATGATTTAACTCCTGCAGTGCCTCTGGGCTGGGCCTGAGTGCCTCCAGAGGAAGCCTACTCAGAGGGTCAGCTGGAGGAAAAGGAAGGGAGAGGAGGTGTGGAAATGCATTTGAGGTGAAGCTTTAGTTTTCATATATCTAACCATGAATTTCTCCTCCAAGGGCAGGAGAAAGAACCCCATCCACCTCCATGATGAATATATCAATACCAATCCCTGCTCATTGGTGAGTTCCATGGTTACTTTAACTGCTCCAGGACCCCACCACTTTCTTTTTTTTGTTGGGAGTAGTAGGAGGAATAGGGTGTCACGTGGTCACTCATGCTGGAATACAATGGTGTGATCATGGTTCACTGCAGCCTCAACCTCCTGGGCTTAAGCCCATTTCAGATTCTCAAATAGCTGGGACTACAGGCATGTGCCACCATGCCTGGCTAATTAATTTTTTTTTTTTTTTTGTAGAGATGGGGTTTTGTCATGTTGCCCAGGCTCATCTTGAACTCCTGGGCTCAAGCCATTCTCCTACCTTGACCTCTCAAAGTGCTGAGATTACAGGAATGAGCCACTGTGCCTGGCCTGACCTCACTGCTTTCCCCAAAATTCCTCACTGAGATGACCTCATGAAACCTTGGATGGAATGTTGGCTTCTGAATATGCCTTAGAGACTACTTTATTCAGTGGTTGCAATTTTTTTCCAGGAGAGTAAGAGAATTTAGAAAAATTGATTGCTACTGCATATTTATTTCTTGTTAGGGCACTGGTAGGTAATGATGCCTATCCAATAATGTTAGCTTAAGAAGTGTTGATGTAATCCAACCCCCTCACCATAGAAGAAAAATCTGAGTTCCACCCAGAGGGAGAGGTTTACCTGAAGGTCTCCAGGATAGCCAATAAGAGGCAGAGGCAAGATGGGGATGGAGGGCCTCTTGTTTTTCTGTTTCAGTATTGCTTCCACCACACTAAATGCAGCAGTGGGCTCTTTCTAAATTGTTTACATATTGTAATTGCTTTAATTATTCTCTTCCCTTTATCTTTTTTGATAACACCAAAGATTATGGGTCTTATTCTGTCCAAGCTGACCTCACTTGGGATGCTGAAATCCTAGAAAGGAAATGGAAGTAGCTAGCTGCTCCCTTTTAAGTTCTTGATATTTCCAAATGTCTTCAGTGATGAACATTTTTTGAAGAGAAAGTCTTAAAACAGGGCATAGTAACTTCCTCTCCATCAGAAAAATGCCAACAGCTCACAGAATCTTTCTTAGCCTTTCTGACACTTACTGTAGAATGCTGCTGATCATTCACATGGTTCAGATAAAATGAGGGGCCTCACACACTATGTAGTACCATGTTTCCCAAAATATGTGGCACTTATCAATGCTATGTGAGATGATATTAAGTAGTATAAAGATCATACCTTTTATTTTAACAGGTGTAAGTAGGTATTTATTTAAATGTAATATATGATAAAAGTATAATGAGCACAGCAAACCCATGACATTTTATTGCTTAGAATGGAGCTAAGTAAAAACGCAAGTTGAGGTAAAGAAAAATATTAAATAAATAATGGTATAAGTGGCACTGAGATTTGGAAAAAATTATAACAGTGATGCCTAATATCACACACAACGGTAGTTTGGGAAACACTTATCAAAGGACACATGTAACACGTGCAAATTGAGCAGTTGTAACACTCCACAACACTGGAGAGCACCATGGAACCCCCTGTTAATTTCAAAGTGTAAATGAGTTTTTCATTTCCAGCCCTCATTTCTGTGAAGTGGGGGGAAACTTAATCTTGACCCTTCACAAACAGTAAGCCTGAGCCAGCAGTTTCCCAGGTGACTTCAAGATTCTCTTCTCAGTCTCCGTGCAGGACCAGCTGTAGCCCTCATGCTGCCGCCCTCACCCAGCAGAGTCCCCTTCAGTGATGGACTGCAGGTCAGAGGAGTGGGGAGCGGGCTTCCTCGTGGCCTCCAGTGTTGCTCTGAGAGGGATATCTACACTCCCTTATTCAGTCCTGTCTGCTGCAGGTGGCACCACTTAGTCCTGCCTGCCTTGTGACTCAGGTGGTCTGTGTTGCCCAGTCTAATCTTCTGGAGCAGGTGATCATGTACGGGTGCAATTGCTTCCCAGCCTACCTCCAATCAGTGTATACACATATACAATCACACCTCCAGTGAGTGCTCACGGACACACACATGTGCACACTCCCTCACACCTCTGGGAGAAGTTTTTTTGCTTTGGATCTTTTCCAGGGTAATTCACTTTGCTGGACCCATGCATGGGTCTGGGCATGTCTTTGCCCTTCCTAGCCAGCTGCACCTGTCAACTGTCTTTCTCTTCTGCTCATGCCTTGTGGGTACCAGATGCACCTGTGGGGGCTTCTGCTCAGCACAACTCCCTCTAGTCACACTGTCTCCTCTAATGAGTGTGTGGGGTGGAGGTAGCAGAGGCTCACTTTCACACTCCCCACAGGTTTTCTCTCCATCCTCTTCCCTTCCTTCTATCCTGGCTCCTCATTCTTGGTGACCTTTCCAGTCTCATGGAGATCAATGACAAACAGGACAGAAATGGTCTCTGCCTCATTGATTGAGCTCACATTTCAGTTGGGATTAGAAATACGAAAGGAGAATAGACATGTAATAAAAAATACAAATAGCTGGACATGGTGGCATGTACCTTCAGTCTCAGCTACTCAGGAGACTGGGGCAGGAGAATCACTTGAGCCTAGGAGTTCAAGTCCAGCCTGGGCAACATAGCAAGACCCCATCTCAAATAAGTGAATGAAGAAAACAAAGGTTTTATGAAAGAAGGGTGAGAAGCTAAGATAAATAATTCTGTGATCAGCATCTCTTGCCCCAAGTATTGTTCAATCTCCAGATTATTTCAGATTATAGATTCTTAAAAGTAGATTGTCAGAAAAAAGATGTGATCATTTTCTGGCTTCTGGATACATATTTTCAGATTCTTGAAGATAATCTAGAGAAGTTTGGGATGCTTGCAGGGTATGCCCCTAATATTTTGAGATTGGAATTAAAGAAGGAAATAATCACTTATATGTAAGTGATTACACATACTTATAAGTACATATTAAAGACAACATTATATATCACAAACCAGTCAGGAGACAGAATCCAGAGAGTAATTTGAACAGGGAAAATTTAATATAAAGAATTATTAACTTTATGTTATTTATATCAAGTTGATTGACTGTATTTTCTTATTTTCTGTATTCTTCATGCTCCAGCACTTGTAGCCTTGATCCTGGAAAGACTGCCCCTCCCAGGGCTAGCTAATTCCTAGAGATGGCCAATGACTCCTCTGTGAGCATATCATTGATATACAAACCACCAATCCAGAGCTGCATTGCCAACCATCTCCTTTATCAATCAATCAAGCCAATATTACCTATGGCATAAAAATCACCCTAGAGGCCGGGTGCGGTGGCTTATGCCTGTAATCCCAGCATTTTGGAAGGCTGAGGCGGGTGGACTACCTGAGGTCAGGAGTTTGAGGCCAGCCTGGCCAACATGGTGAAGCCCTGTCTCTAATAAAAATACAAAAAATTAGGCATGGTGGCAGGCACTTGTAATCCCAGCTACTTGGGAGGCTGAGGCAGGAGAATCGCTTGAACACGGGAGGTGGAGGTTGCAGTGAGCTGAGATTGCACCATTGCACTCTAGCCTGGACAACAAGAGCGAAACTCCATCTCAAAAAACAAAACAAAAAAACAAAAATCACCCTAGAGAGAGGTTTTGGACAACCAGGGACCACCCGTAAATAGCAAAGCACTTTGAAATTTTCAAACTACCCAATCCTAAGCTTATTCAGCATACCTATTCTGCCTTACCCATTCCTTCCTGTGAAAATCTTAATAGAGGGCTCTCTTCTCTCCCCTCTGCCAATCCTGGTGCTTTCCTTGGTGTCATGCTGTGCCTCCTGTTTGTAGGGATATATGAATATAAACTTCTTCCTTCATGACAATCATTTTCATGTCTGCATGTCTTATCATGCTTGACTAAAACAAATCCCAGGTATCTTTTGGCACATGAGGACATTACCCACTAGGAGAGAGAAAACTATGAAGAATGCAGAAACAACGGATAAGGGAAACAGCTCAGCCATTGCTTCTAAGATGGTGGCAGAATATCAAAGAAGGAACAAATCTTGAAGAGGTCCTTCTTTAGAGCAGAAATCCAGATCTAATTGAAGAGCGCCGTGGGTCATGGCCCACTGAGTTGAAGAGAAGCTTTTTAAGGTGTTTCTCCTGTGGGACTCACTAAGACTCGAGCCCTCTAGGGTGCTGGGGCAAGATGTTCCCAGGATTGCATCTTGTTGCAGAATCTACTAAGGAGCTACTCGTGAGATTGGTGCTACTGAAATTCACAGGGTCGATGTGGTAGTGTGGGTATCCCTGGTGCCCCTGCCTGCTAGCTCCTGCCCAGATACGCAAGCAGAGAAGATAGGTTGGAACCAGGAGGAGATGCCTACTCCTCTTTAGGGGTTCTCAGTGCCCTCTACTGACAAAATCTAGCATTTTGCCAGCTGAGAAGGGGGAAATGTCCTCCCTTTCCAGGAGGCCAGTGAAGGTGGATTTGGAGGTGAGAGGCAAATATACCAACTTCTGTTCCTCCCTGACTGAGGGTCTCTTCTAGGGCATGAATTCATTAGCACTCTGGCCCTGCTCTGCAATGGCCTGTTATACTCTCATGGCCAAGTTCCTGGACCAAACTGAGGGTTGGGCTGCTATTTCTCATGGCCCAATAATGAGATGTAGATGAACTGGGGAGGAAGAGTTTTTATTTCTGCAACCAGGTACGGGGAGAAGGCCTGGAAATTATTGCCAGACCAACTCAAAATTACAGTTTTTCAGAGTTTATATATCTTCTAAGCTATATGTCTAAATGTAAATGTGCATTCATCTAAAGACATTAGTGATTAACTTATTTTAATCTATAGCTAAGGTCTGAGTCCTGAAGAATTTCCTCTGGAGCTTCTGTAAATTTACTTAATCTAAATGGGATCAGGTGCTGGGGTGATTACCCTTATCTCGTCTCCTGCTAAATCACGGAGGTTTAGGGAGTTCCTTCAGGTCCTCAATAACCTTGTTTGTGGAGGCCTGGGGAGTTTATTCAGACCCACAATAAAACGTAATCCTAGATGGTCCTGTTAAGAATTCCTTTGTTATTTTTTCCTGCATTAAGTCCCAGGAAAGGCCTAGGCAAAACTCTTGGTGGGCTTTTGTTACATCCCAGCCTTTGTATAAGGGCACTGGCTTTTAATATTCAACTTAACCACTCAGTACTGAAACAGTTGTTATGGAGGCTTGAGTTACTGAGACCTAGCCTGCCACAGCCAGAGAAAGCACTCAGTTTGTCCTGGATGGTGGGTGCCCTAGGGATATGGTTGCAGCACCCACAGCATCTGCAGTAGGTACTTATCACACACAGTATATATTGATCTATGTTCCTTATTGTCTGTGTTCCTGCCCTAGAATGTAAGCTTTAGGAATGCAAGGGTTTGGTCTGGTTTATAGACTGCAGCTAGAACAGTGCCTGGCACATAGGGAAGGCTCAATTCATTTCTGGTGAATTAATGAATGCATTTCCCAAGGGTCTCAAGGAAAGAATGTGAGCATTAATGGCTCTGGGTTACCCACAGTATTACTTTGTGGACTCTGGAGATCCCTTTGCTAATCTTGGGCTGGTAAACAGAGAGACATTCGGAGCAGCCCACACATTCCCTTTCAAAATGACTGTGAGAGTGGCAGCTTTAAAAGAGTAAGGCAGAACACAGTTTTTAATACTTCTGGACAACCAACACAAGGCTCAAGATTGCTTATTTTTCAAGGGTAATTGCAAACCATTGCAGCTGCACTGTCCCGAGCTTGCTGGGCATATTTCACTGCAGTGGAATACACCTGTGACTGCTGCTACCAAGGGATGGCAAACCCAACCAACACAGAGCCTTCTCCAACACCGAGCCTTCCCCAAGGGAGTTCAGCTCATCCATCAAAATGTTAACTCCTCAGCTGTGAATGTTCAGGAATCTTGAAGGCACCATCAACATATTCAATTTGTACTCTGGTTTCAGTATAAGAGGAACACTCTCACTCCAGGTGTTTTATTTACCAGTACTGTTTTGAGAGAGGGTCTGTATTTCAGGGTATTTTATTTTACTTTGGGATGAAAGTCTACATTTGTCAATTTTATCTGGCATTAAATCTTCTTAGACTGTAATGGAAAAGGCCAAATATTTATTTTATCTGATATTTTTATGCATCAGAAATTTTTTTATGGGATTCAAAGAATAGAATCTGAGTTGGGATTTGGACTTTCGGATCTGACTGAAGGTCCAGGTAACTCAAGTGGAGACAAGTACAAATTCCAAATTAAGTTGGTGATAAATTTACAGAACAGCATGGAATTTATCCCTGAGCCTGCAGTCAGGTTTTTAAAAAATGATCAAGGGTATGAATGCATGATTCAAAGTAATCTCAGGAAGCAACACAAAGTTCAGAAGCTTTATCAATGCTAGATAGATTAATGGGGTTTGAAATGAAATATCATAAATCAAGTGTGAGCAGACGTTAATCCAAATCGTGCCTCCAGCTTGGGAGATTATGTGTAAGATAGGAGATAGTTACTCATAAGAGACTACTAGAAAAAAAGACCTTGTTTTTAGTGAGGGCCTATTTTGTCTCAGGTTCAGAACCAGGGGCTCAGGAATCAGGGCTGCAAAAGGGCATGTCCCCATTCACACAGCAGCACAAAGAAGAGGGAAATTTTCCTGCACTGTCTTCAGATTTAGATTTAGATACCAGAGAATTCAGGGAAATAGAGCCATAGTATTCTCAGGGCCTGGCTGATGGCTGATTCCAGCAGTACGCTGTTTTGAGAAGGCAGTTGCTGAAGTGGCTAAGAGCCTTGGTTTTCCCATTCACAGTACAGAAATGACAAGAGTAGTAAGTCACAAGTTTGTTGGAATGATTAAATGAGATACTCCAAGTACTCAGCACATAGTAAACATTAAAACATGTCAGTATTTTCACTATTAATGAACATAATGTGGTCTGATGTGGCAAATTTCTCAAAGCTATGTCTTTCCCTTTAACTTTTCAGTCCAGAAGCCACTGGGATTCCTGGAGTGTTTTCGGAGCAGTGAGTACCACAGACTTTAGCAAGCACACTGGATGAGAATCCAACAGTGACCTTGCTTGAGGAAGATGAACAACGCTTCAGACAGCATGTCAAATAGATTCAAGTTTTAAGAAATCAGGAAGAAACCATCTTGGAAAACAAATATTGTGAGCAAATTGACCACAAAGCATGTTAACTTCCAGTACTGGTAATGGTTAAGTTCAGTTGCGGGTAACAGAAAAACTGAAGCTAATTGTGGTTTAAAAATACTTTTTTAAAAAGTTTGTTTCTCTTTTACTGAAGGAACCAAGAGGTTTGGCCCCTTTGCGAGCATCAGGAACTCAGGCTGCTCCTAACCATGTTGCTCTGCCACCCTGCAGATGCTGCCCTTAGCTCAAGATGGCTGCTTAGGCTCCAGCCTTCACATCCATATTCCAGCCAGCATAAATCAGGAAAAGACTAACAAGGGCAGGCCTTCTCCTTTTAAAAATCTTTCAAAAGATTTCACATGATACTTGCACTTATATTTTGTTGTCCAGAGCTTTGCTATGTGCCAGCAGCAATGGTGGCTAGAAAATTTAGTCTTTATTTTAGATAACTATGTGCTTATCAAAAAATTGGGGCTTTTTTTTTCTTTGTTTTACTAGGAAGACAGAGAAATGAGATAGATACTGGTCTCTGTCACACATCCCTTCCCTTTGTTCTGTAGTGGATACAGTCAGCCACATTGGACACACTAAGGTGTGTGTTTCTGCCCATTTTTGATGTGGGAGATAATGACAAAGAATTGGGCTCCTCTATTTTACAGCCAAAATTAAAGGGTATGATTGTTTTTATTTTACAGATTAGAAACTTAGAGATGCTAAGTATCTTCCCCAAGATAACACAGTGAGTGGTAGACACAGGATTCCAGCCAAGGTTGGTCTGACTGACAGCAAAGCCCCTGCCCTTCTCTTCCCCTCTCCACCAGCAAGCTGTTGGTAGAAGGCTTGGTGTGGAAACCCCTCACCAGTCACACAGTTGAGAGGCCATTCAAACATCCACATGTGTACACCAGGCAAACTGCTCTGGAAATAGAGAGTAACAGCTCTTTGTCCTAGAACATTTGCTAACCCTGTGCAGGTCAGGTACACTTCTAGTCAAAGGTTCCAGGCTCAAGGGCTGGGGCTTTTGCCATGAGAAGCTTCCCCTGGGATGCTGAAGGTCAAAATAAGGAGGGTTTTTTCCTTCAAGTGTTTATTGAAGGAGCATTTTGTTTTCATCTCGAATAAAGCAAAGTGGTTCATCTTCTATGATTTAATTCTCATTCCCACTCTCATTCTAATTTTTTTTTCTTCCTGGAAAAGTTTGCTGCAAGACCGCTCTCTTTTATTTTCACTGAGAAATGATGGGGGAAAGACGTAATCGGTTTTGGTGAACTTCATTCAACTTAAAACCCAGGGTGTCCTCCACTAAAATGAAACAAACCAGAAAAACCCAAACACACATTATAATCACTGATAAAACATCAGGTTTACAGACATTCTTGATGGAAGCAGTATCAGGGCACTACTGTATGCTCTGTAGCAACAAAGCTGGAGGACACAAAGAGGGTTCCTAGCGATTGTGTGAAACATGATTTTTACTTGACAATTTCTTTTGTCCAGTATGACTCACTTTATGCATGCATTAGAAATGTATAAGGTTATTAGGTGGCAGAGTCCCAAAAGAATCATCATAATTAAGGACAGTAGGATGCACCAGAAGGAACCATAAGCTGTGGAATTGCATAGATCTGGATTATTCAGTAGCTGAGTCTATTTCTAGATTGTGGCTTTCGGCTGGTCTTTAACCATCAGTTTCTTCACTTATAAAATAGAAATAATTACACCTGGTTTGTAGGGAGATTTTTAGGATATGTATATATATATATACATTCTCATTGATAAGTGGCTTAAGATACAAGGTATCAAAATAATGTATGTCATAGAACAGAGGTCAGTGTGCACATTGATCCTTCAGCTGGAGACCTTCATTAGTTCCGGTGGGCATTTTGTATCAGTTATCTATTGATGTGTAACAAACCACTCCAAAACTTAGAGCCTTAATGCACAGGATTCTACAACCTGGCAGGGTTCTGTAGGGACAGCTCACTGCTGCTCCATGTGGTGTGGACTGGGGTCACTCTGGTGGCAGCACAAACCAGGAACTTGGCTGGGGCAGGAGCAAAATGGCTATACTCACCTACCTGGCACCTTTTGTGTAATGACAGGAACACTCGGCAGCTGGCCAGCTGTCTCTTCCTCTCCACATGCTCTCTCCAGCAGAGTGGCCCATCTTACATGGGGACAGAGCTCCAAGCGCACAAAAGAAGAACCTGCCAGGCTCTAGGCCTGGGACTGGCACCAGAGCCACTTCTGGTGCTTTCTGCAGGTCAAGAAATTCTCTATCCAGCCCTGGTCATGAAAAAGGGACATACACTTCACCTCTTGATGGGAGGAGAAGCAAGATACACACTGGTGGTGGTCATTTATCCAGGAAAATCATGATATAAAATTAATTACTCTTCCTGGCTCTGCCTTGACAACCAGCACCGAATGTTGGCAAATCCTAAGGAAAATAGAATTGCTGCCACCTGCCCAAACAGAAACAGGTGCTATTAACAGGCCCAGCAGCAGGTCTGGGGTGCTAGAAGAGGGGGCGGGGGAACAAACTATCTCTCCTAAGTGCTTTTCCAAAAGTGACACCTTTACAAAAAATTTTAATGTAATATGTTAACATAATGGTTGTTAGAATTGTGATTAAAAAGTCAGAAGAAGCAGTTTAAAAGCAGTACCTTGAGATGTGTAGATAATATGATCAAAGGCGGACCATTTATGTATTTTCCTACCTTAAGAACAACAGCACAGACTTCTCTCCCCACCCCTAGCGCCCAGAGAGAAACAAGGACTTCCTCGGTGTTAGAACCTACTATGCCCCTCATAGGAGCACAGCATCCTAGAAGTAGCTTTCTCTATATACCTTCTGCTGCTGTGAGGTCACCTCTGTGTGTGTGTGTGTGATTGTGAGTGTGGGCATGCATTTAAGTGTGTATAAGTATGCTGATGCGTGCACGAGTGTGCAAAATGAGTGAGTCTGTGTGACTGTGTGCATGCTTGAGTGTGAGCGTGTGTGTGTGTGTGAAGGCAACTGTATATCTGAGTATGGAGACACAGCATGTAAGTGAGAACAAACTCAAAACTGGGCAAAAGAAAGAGAGCACATGGCATTCCGATTCAAAGTTATGTGGTTGGGATCTGCCAGCACTTGGAGAATTTCCTGACTCCAAAGCGTGCAGCTCTGTCTTGCCCATGGCCAATGGTGGCACATCAGAGCCTTTCTAAATGATTGGAATAAATGATATGATCCTGCCAGCCCAGAACTGATGGAGTCTGGGCCAAGTTGGAGGAAGAGAAGGCATTGAAGGTGCAGGGATTTGGGATGCTGATGGGTGGATGGCAGGGCTCTCCGAAGCAAGCCAGCCCCCAGACTCGGGAGCCCAGCCTGCTGCCCCTTCTTCCTGGCAATGGGCAGTGGGGATCCTTGAAGCGGGGAGCGTAGTAGTGCATTATAAACTGGTCCTTTTCTTTCAGTGCTTTTGAGGTGGTCCCTACCAGCCTTGTTGTGCTCCTCCCAGTCTGAGGTCTACCCACTACCCTGTCCTGATTTCTGAAAAACTGAACCCCACAGATCTCTGAGCTGGAAAGAGTAATGTGATTAGCATCTTTACATACCAGTCTTCTCTTTTTAAAAGAACATCTCAGTAGCAGGATGAGATTTTGTCTCTGAAGCCTGGGGAAATAATTTTTCTCTTTTTTTTATTTGTGCTGTTAATGTTTCCTATCTCCTTTCCACTTTTAAATACCGTGAGGTTGTGTTTGTAGCGATGGATTCTCAGTATGTTGCCCAAGGTGGCCCTCTGGTCTCAAGCAGTCCTTCTGCCTCTATCTCCCAAGCAGCTGGGACTACAGGCACATGGCAGTGCAGCCAATTATATGGGTTTGTTTTAAGTTTGTGATTATTGGTGAGTTTTCATTAAAGCAAATAACAACAAAAAAGTAACTCATGGAACACTTTGAAATATATATTTTATTGTGGTACAGGGCTATCTGAGAGAAGCAGTGTTATGACTGGTTTGTTAATTAATATTAGTAATTATTAACATTTATTTAAGTATTTATGCCAAGCACTAGTCTAAATGCCACATGCATGTTGTTCTCATTTTGCATACGAGAAAAACATGGCCCAGAGATGGTAGGCAACTTTTCACAGTTACACAGATAATAAAGTAGTGTGACTTTCTGCTACCAGGCTTTCTGCCACTCTGAGCACCCAAGCTCTGGATCAATATGCTCTGCTGCATCAGTTACGACCGTGACCCAAATATCTCA
The DNA here is from genome assembly GCF_000001405.40 of Homo sapiens. Classification (NCBI taxonomy): domain Eukaryota; kingdom Metazoa; phylum Chordata; class Mammalia; order Primates; family Hominidae; genus Homo; species Homo sapiens. The sequence goes on along the minus strand of NC_000010.11, from coordinate 84,052,693 downwards.
AGTGTCAATGGCCTGGAAATATAAATTGATATTGACATTGATATTCACCTTTTATTGGCTCTAAGCCCCTGCCTTCTCAAGTCCTGTCTTTTCCAGCATCAACTTCTTTGATTATTTCTAGAACACCCCAGGGTGCTTTCTTGTCTCCACAAATCAGCTCTGGTTGTTGTTCTCTGCTAGGACACAGAAATTAAAATCACTTACTTTCTGCTGCACATCTGAATGGCCTAGTTTTAAATGTAAACATTCACATGGCACAGCGAGGTAAAACGACTGTTGTCAACGTGTCGCCATATCCATCTCCTTGCTTGAACCTTATGATAACTCTTTTGGGTTGTAGCACAAATGTTACTATCAACTCCTCTTAGCTTCATCTTGTAAATGAGGAAACTCAGCCTCGGAGAGGCTATTTTTCTGGGAAATCATAGGTGGTAAAGAGTGGAGTTAGATCCCAAATGACCATACATAATGCTTCCTTGTTGATCTCTGGACACTGTCATTTGTACTTGTTGCTATAAGTGTCCGTAGCTTTGATGCTTATTTTTGTGACAAAAACATATTATCTGTAAGGTAGAAAGAACTAACCCATGGAAATTAAGAAACACTCTTCTGAATAAACCTTGATTCAAAGAGAAAATAAGATAGACATTACAAGTATGTACACAGAAAGGAGAACATATGGAATACAGCTAAAAGTATATTGAGAGGAAAAGACATTGTTCTTAGATACCTTCATAACAAAAAAGATTGAAAATAAATCACCTGTTTTCATTCAACACAGGAAACTAGAACAAGACTGTAAAATAAACAGGAAGGACTTAAAGTTTATGAAATAGAAAAAGATAATATAAACGATCAATATAACTAAAAGCTAGTCTTCAAAAGGACAGGTAAGATGGAAAGCTCCTGGTATGTGTCTGTGTGTATGAGTTCATGCATGTGTGTGTGTGTTGAGGGGGTGCGGGGTAGTAGATATTAGCAAGGGACTATATCCAAAGTATACAACAATATTTTAAAGTGTAAAAGAATGTTGCAATTAGCTTCAAAGAAATACATTTTAAAATGTGCAGAAAATTAGCAATTTTCTATCAAAATGTAATCAGTGAACCAATGGGTTCACCTTGCCTGCTGCCTAGACAGAGCTGATTTATCAAGACAGAGGAATTGCAATGCAGAAAGAGTAATTCACACAGAGCCGGCTGTGCGGGAGACCAGAGTTTTATTATTACTCAAATCAGTCTTCCCGAGCATTCAGGGATCAGAGTTTTTAAAGATAATTTGGCGGGTGGGGGCTTGGGAAGTGGGGAGTGCTAACTGGTCAGTTTGGAGATGGAATCATAGGGGGTTGAAGTGAAGTTTTCTTAATGTCTTCTGTTTCTGGGTGCAATGACAGAACTGGTTGAGCCAGATTACTGGTCTGGGTGGTGTCAGCTGATCCATCCAGTGCAGGGTCTGCAAAATATCTCAAGCAATGATCTTGGATTTTACAATAGTGATGTTATCCCTCAGGAAAAATTTGGGGAGGTTTAGACTCTTGGAGCCAGAGGTTGCATGACCTAAACTGTAATTTCTAATGTTGTAGCTAATTTGTTAGTCCTGCAAAGGCAGACTGGTCCCCGGGAAAGAAGTGGGTCTTTTCTGGAAAGGGCTGTTATCAATTTTGTTTCAGAGTCAAACCATTAACTAAATTCCTTTCCAGAGTTAGTCTGGCCTATGCCCAGGAATGAATAAGGACAAATTAGAGGTTAGAAACAATGCGGAGTTGGTTAGGTCTGATTTCTTTCAGTGTCATAATTTTCTCAGTTATAATTTTGCAAAGGTGGTTTGAAAAATATTCATTATTAAATTTTATCCAAGAATACAGAAAATTTGAAAAGACTAATAACATAGGATATCGAAAACATTAGTAAAAATTACCATTCAAAAAGGCAAAAGACTTAGATGGTTTTGCCCATGAGATATACCTAAGTTTTAAATAATAAATAATTTCTATGTTAAGGAAGCTCTTCTGGGTAATAGAATATATTTTATAAGGCTAGTACAAACATAATGCCAAAATCTTAAAAAAAAAATTAAAAAGGAAACTATAAGCCAATTTTACTTATGAATATATGCATATAAATTCCAAAGAGAGTACTGAATTATAAATCAGTTCTGGCAATACAGTAGAATAATAATATATCAGAACCAGATAGGATTTCTTCTTTTTTTTTTTTTTTTGAGATGGAGTCTCGCTCCATTGCCCAAGCTGGAGTGCAGTGGCATGATCTCAGCCCACTGTAACCTCCACCTCCTGAGTTCAAGCATTTCTCCTGTCTCAGCTCCCCGAGTAGCTGGGACTACAGGTGCCTGCCACCACGCCCAGCTAATTTTTGTATTTTTAGTAGAGACGGGGTTTCACCTTGTTGGTCAGGCTGGCCTCAAGCTCCTGACCTCAGGTGATCCACCTGCCTTGGCCTCCCAGAGTGCTGGGATTAGAGGTGTGAGCCACTGCACCCAGCCAGGATTTGTTTTATCAATGCAAGGATGGTTCAATATTAAGAGATCTATTATTATAAGTCATTACACCAACAAATTGTGATTATGTTTCTAGTTGCAAAAAGCCATTTAATAAGGTTTTTAAATAGCTAATCCTAAAAATAAAAATCCTGAAATCAAATAAACTGAAAAACCTAGTACAAGCTAAAGACTATTTGTGAGAAACCAAGCATAATCACTACACATGTTGAAATACTAAAACCATTGTCCTTAAAATCATTCACAAGATGTGCATGCCTGTCCTTTCCTCTCTATTATCATTGCTTCAGCTGCCCCTTTATGTGTGCATTTAATCTCCAGAATGGACTTCTTTTCAGAAGAGATTGCTGTCTAACTGCTTGCTCAGCATTTTCATTGGATGCCTAACAAACTTCACATGGTCTCACTGGAACTCCAGATTCTCCCCTCCTCCCCTAAGCTGAACCTTCCCTGCTGTCTTCTCATCTCAGAGGAATAGCACTCCTTTGACTCAGTTGTTCAAACTAACAACCTGAGCTATCCTTGTTCCCTCATCTTTTAATCTAATCTATTAGCAAATTCTGCCCTTTCTATCTTTAAAATGTAACTTAAATCCACCTCCACTGGCAATTAGGAGACTGATGGGGAGACGATTAACTTAGAAACCCACCCCTACACTGCACGGCTTGTTATATGGTACACACAGAACCTAGTAACTGAAGATCTAACAAAAGCAAAAGTAAAAGAAGGAAAAGTCGCTTTGACATTGAGTCATGGCAAGTACTTCTCCCTGCCTTTCAGAGCCACATTTCTGAGAAAGCTTCCTGACTGGAATAATAAATTGTGCTTGAAAAACATAGAAACAGAGGAGAGGGCAAGGTTACTGCTGAAATGGAAAACTAAGTGACACATGGCTTGAAAACTCTCAGAATCACTGGCATTCCCTGGTCAAGTTGAGTGGAACAAATCACTCCCCAAACAAAATGTAAGTCAAGATTTCTTTTCAGATGCTTCAAGTGCAGTTTCTTTCAGTTCTCTCCATCCCCTCCCTGTTCCCTCTCCCTCCTTCTCTCCTTCTACCCTCCACCCCCACTGAAAGGCTGTTGGTGTAAACACCACCTACCCCTTTACGGAAACTGAGGTGTTAGAGTTAAGAGATGATTCACCTTTTGCTGTTTTGGTGCTGGAGGCTCCCACCTCCAGATTTTTTTTTTTTTTTCCCAATACAGAGTCTTTCTCTGTCACCCAGGCTGGAGTGCAGTGGCGCGATCTCAGCTCACTGCAACCTCTGCCTCCTGGGTTCAAGCAATTCTCCTGTCTCAGCCTCGCTAGTAGCTGGGATTACAGGTGAGCACAATCACGCCTGGCTAATTTTTGTATTTTTAGTAGAGATGGGGTTTCACCATGTTGGCCAGGCTGGTCTTGAACTCTTGACCTTGTGATCTGCCCACCTTGGCCTCCCAAAGTGCTGGGATAACAGCTGTGAGCCACCGTGCCCGGCCCCACCTCCAGATCTTTAGACAATCAATCAACTTACTCTGTTCTGGAAAGCCACTCCTTATACAGATCCTTCTGGTGTCTATAGTAGCATTCTGAAAGTGGTTTGAGTTTCCTTAGTGCAAGCCAACTTTACAACCATTGTTGATGTTTGGCACTAAGCAAACTCCAGATATAAACATGAATTAGGAAGGCAAGGAGTGCCTGTCTGGAGATGGAAATAGGCACTTAAAGATCTAGGCATACAAACAAGATAGCTACTTCTGAGACAGTACCAAGTGCTGCAGGGTACAGAGAAGGGAACAGTTAATCCTACCTGGGAGGGGCTTCATCCAAATGGCTACTGAGTTGAGTGTTAAGGGACTGGCAGGAACTCTAGGGGACTGAAGGGGAGGCAAGAGTGGGTGAGGCAGGGTGTCATGAAGGGGCAATCTAGCCATAGAAATACTATTCAACAAGGCAGAAGGAAAACTTACTATGGACATGAAGTAGCTCTGTTTGTTAAAAGTACGGACGTGGGGCTGTTGGAGCTAGTTGGGAGTAGGAAAGAAAAAGAATATTATGCGGTGTGTTGAAGTAGTGCATTTGGACTTGGCTCTGCATGTGGTGAGGCTCTAAGAAAGCCTAGCTCCATCGAGTGTGGTTCTGGGAACTGCAGCAGCTGCATCCCTGGGGGCTTGCTAGGAAAGCAGACCCTCGGGCTCCGCCCAAGACCCACTGCATCGGAATCTGTACTTGAACAGTGTCCTCTGTGCATGTTAAAGTTTGAGAATCACTGTGTTACATGGCTTTAAGCAGATTAAAGGCAGAGTAAATATGTTTAAAAATAGCACTCTAGCCACAATATGGAGGATAGGCTGGAGGGTGTAGTGATGGGGTTGGAAAAACTCTTGAAAAGGCCACCACAATGGTCTGGATAAGAGGGTGATGGCCAAGCTGTTAGGCTTTATGCAATGCTGTCACAAAGCAGACCTTTGGCTTTGAATTCTAACAACTGTTTCTGTCTTTCAGCTCCCTAAGTAATAGTATCTACTTCTTTGAGATTTGTAATGATTAAATGAAACTGTGTACCTAAAGAGTCTGACTCATGAAGTGCCAGTCACTTAATAAACACTTCATAAGTGGAAACTTTGTGACTATTAGGATAAACAAGGATTTGATTTTGTCCAAGTGATTTACAAACTGCAATTCTCTTGAATCAACTCTAAATAATTCTTAGGCAATGCATGAGACAAGCAAGAGACTACTCCCATCCACAATCTCCTCCCTGTTGGTTTTATAGTACTCCTGTCAATCTAATTCAATCCAAGCCAGTTTCATTCTATTCCATTCCATTCCTTAGAAAGCCTTTTGAATGTAAAGCTCTTCACAGAGTGTCCATATTTTGATTTAGTTTTCACCCTTACATGAAGGGTTAGGCTGCTGCCATCTCCATTTTACAGAACAGGAAACTGAGGCTGAGAAAAATTTGGTTATTTGCTAAAGATCACATAGTTAATAATAGATGGATGTAGGATTTGAATCAGGATTTAAAATGTTGAATATGTGATTTCAAGTTTCATAGTATTACTCGCCACCCCGTTCTTCAACATGCTGCACTAACAGGTTATCTTTGTTTCTGGTGGCAGTTTTGAGGTTAATGCTGGACAACTTGTCTCAAAAAGGTAGGACTAAGAGCCCAATGAAATGGTGAATGTAAGTTTGTAAGAGCTGGCATTTGTCTATTTTATTCACTGTGCCTAGAATAATACCTGATGCTTAGTAGTGCTGAATACATTTTTGTTGAATGAATAAGAAAATGCTTTGTGAAGCACAATAGCTGCCTATTTCGGGGATAGTTTCATGTAATCTGGAAATAACTTGTAATTTTTCATGTTAGTTTCCTGTTGTGGCTAATTCCTGAATTGATTTGTTTTCCTGACTAGAAATTAGCATTTACAAAACTTTAAACATTCACATAACATTTATTTCAGAATGAGAGAGCCATTATATTCATGATGATAGTGCTTGCTAAAGAGTCTACATCTCTCTAGATAAATTCAAGATGGTGTTATAATCGTTATTGCTGTGGAAGGAGATCAGAATATGCCACCCCAAAATATGCCACTTTGGCATAAAAATTATTTTGAGCTGCAGGCCATTGAGAATCAACAGGTATAGAAAGAAGCCTTCTTAGACCTTCTCTTATCTGACTAAGAGCAGAAACTTCCGAGAAATGAGGACTGCCATGAGTCTTCTCTACCAGGGAAGTTTTATGGCCCTGAAGGAGACAGAAAGTCAGCATCAAGATGGGCCTGCACAAACTTTACTAAACAATCCTTATCTTCCATTAGGTTCCTCATATATTTATCTTGTCACAATTTACTGTTCCTAGAAGCTCAAAACTCTATTCCTTTGTTTTGTCATTTCTACACAAATTTATTCTTCTTTGTTAAAATGGTATATGAGCCTCTGGGTCTGACCACCTTTTTGGAGTTTTCATTTTATTTCTGTGAGGCCCTCCACCATATTTATAAAATAACCACTCTCTCCTGTTGATCTAAGTTCAATTTGCAGGGCCCCAAGGACTGAACCTAAGAGGGTAGAGAAAAAAGTTTGTTTCCTCCCCATTGCTACAGTAATTAGGGTTCTAAAACCCGATGAATTAAAATCAGAAAATGAAGATGATATACAAAACACCTGTGATATAACATACTTAATACTTTTCATGTTATTTTGTTTGATTTAAAATCAGTTTGGATTTGGTCTCTTATCCAGTTGCCCTCCTGTTTTCTGACTTGAATCTTTCTCCTTTTCAATTGCCTTGATAATAGAGATTCTTTTATTTACTGTTTTCCTTGAAGTGCCCAAATCAGATCTGGTGGTGCTAGTAAATACTTCCTTTTGCCCCATCATTTCCTTTCATATTTTCTTCTTTTGTCTCATCTGTACAGAAAGGATCAGAGCTGGTGATTCCTGATTGACAGCAGTATGATTTCTGCTTCTAACTATTCCTCTTGTTGAATGCTTCATGGTGCTTTTCCCCCAGTAAAATTTCTGTTTGAAATTCCCATAGAGCAGAGCCACTCTAGCCTGAGGCCCAAGCACCAGGCAGGCCACGGAAGTCTAGAGAATGCCACGTTGCCTTCGCCCAGGGTGTTTATAGCACTGGGCTTTGAGATGGGCACATGACAGCCTGAATGAGATTCATCTTGTGGGAAAGGTAGTGTGAATAATTGAAGAAGCCTGCCTTGCTGAGTGTCCAGTAGCACAAGAAGACCGAGATCAGCTTTAGTCTTGCATGGAATTCCTCATGCACTCTCTATTCCTGGTTCTTGGAGATCCACACTAGAGGAAAATATCATTCAACAAAGCGAAATATGAAAAAAAAGCTGCCAACATGATTGTCTCACTAGAGTGGGATAATATTAGTTTCATTTGCCATTTACTTCAGCAAGACATTTCTCAACTCTCACAGGTTATCAGTAAAAGCTGAATTGTAATCATTTTTATGTCTTCTTTCTCAAACTGAGAAGTCAGTGGTCTTAATAATTTCATAAAAAATGGTGATGTTGCTTTTTAATAGGTATCAACTGACAGAAAGCTACTTTCTAAGTCCAGAAAGGACTCACAAGGTCTGGAGATGTGACCTGTCTCACCCAATATCACCTGGACAAGAAGGTGTATCGGTTAGGGTCTAGGCAGGAGACAGAAACCACACAGTAACTTGAACAAGAACGTTTTATAAAAAGAATTACTATTTACAGGAACTTCACTAAAAGGGGAGAGGAAAGAATTCTTAGAATATACTTTAGGGCTCTGAGAGCATACCCAGTAAAAGACAAACTTGAAAAGGGGTGCCCTCCCCAAAGATGGGATTCAGACCTTATTGGAGAAGGTATGGTTATAGTTCACTAAACGGCAGAGAAAGTCAGAGGGTTGCCTGAGCAAGCCTAGACTGACAGGAAACTGCCTGCTGGGTGCTGATGAAATTTACAGGGAAGCTGCCTTGAAAGGAGTGCTCCTGCACTCACCATGAGGCCAGTTGGGGAACCCATGGAACTCACATGAATCCACCTGTTTAGGAGGATTGCTGCTGAAGCTAGGGCACTTTCAAAACTCCTGGTGAAGCTGCCCATGGAGGATGTTACTAAACTTACTGAAAGGGTAAGCACCCATGGTACCCACTGGCATTCCACTTACGTTTGTTAGGGGAGAGCTTCATTTGGTGTTCCATGCGCACCAGCCCAGGAACCAGGAGGAAAAGCTTGTTCTTCAGCCTGTGTCCCTCCCATGTTTTCTACTGATGCTAGAGCTTAACGTCATGCAGGTGTGCCAGCAGGCTAGGCAGGGCAATGAGGGGTGGATTTGGAACCCTGAGTCAGGAAATTGATAGGTAGCACAGGGAACACTGAGGCTCAATTCTTCTACCTTCTAGTGTGTGCACCCTTTCACTATGTTATGTCACATGCTCTTAATGATCATCATTCTTCTCTTTTATTTAATTGTATATCAAGAGAACAATAATTATAGTTGATTTTTGGCAGGTATTTATGAACAACATGAGAACCATAGGATTTAGCACTTATTCTAAGCCTTAGTACATTCTCTGATCTGAAAACTTAGGCAAATGACCAAAATTTAGTATCATATATCTGGGGCCAATTCAGCAATGTTTAAGAAATGCTAGAAAAATTGAGGCAATTAAACATGAACTGAATTTTTAATTTAATTTCTATTCATTTAACTTTAAATTTAACAAATGATATTTAATTCAGTTATTGGACAACTTTAAGAATGTTTGGAACAATTTAGAGGAGTGTGTGGCACATTTTATAGGCCGAGCTTGGAGGGGTGTACTTCACTTCTGCTCTCATTCAATTGGCTGTGTTAGGGAGGAAAAACTTTTCCTCTACTCTCTTAGGTTTGTGACTGGGGGCCTGCAAACTAAACAGACAAAAGACAGATTGGCAAAGAAAGGACAGATTTTTATTGATGTAGTACACAGGAGTTCACAGAAAAATATGCTTCAAGGAGGTAATTAGAATTTGGAGTTTATATACCATCTTAATAGGGAAAGTGTGGGGTGAAAGGCACTTACAGGAAAACCAATGACTTTTAAGAAAGGTAAATGGGCCCGTAGGAGAATAGATTGGAGATATGATAGTTTTGTGACAACTTCTGTTTAGGTGATTTCTTATTCTGATGTTGACATCTCTTTTCTGGTGATAGGAATTGATGTTCTCTGCCCTGGGATGGGATTTATGACAGTTGAATTCTTTCTGTTTTTAGGCAGGTAAGAGGAGTTAAAAAAACGTTTTTGCATCTGTTGATCCTCACATGCCTCCAGTCCCAAATGATTTTTGTGCCACAGTGGTGTATTCTGAACACCTTTACTGGAACTCAGTCACTTGGTCACAAGGACTAGGCCCATGAGGAAAAGGACAACAATTTGGTGCATGATCAACCAGGATCTTTCTCATGAGGGTTAGACAGGAATTTACCCACCCTGCGCACCAGAGGAGGGTGCTGTGTGGTTTAACTCAAGAATTTGTGCTGTTTCTGTGGACCTCATGGTTACTTCAGGGGTGGATCCAATCGAAGTCAATCTTAGGACTTTCGCTGAGATGCTGGGACACACTCTGTGGGTTGGGGTAGCACCAGGAGGTTTACAGCCACTATCTCCATGAGGAGAGAGCCTGGACTGTTGGGAGACATGGCCAGGAGACTGAGGATGTAGCTCCTTCAGAGGAAGCAGAAATAGGAGATCAATCCTGCTGATGTCAATTGAGATCCAGATCCAGACCTGTTTGAAGCCAGGTTGTATAGTTATGTGACCGAATACATTTCCTTTTAATATAGGCCAGTTTAAATTGAGTTTTCTGTTGCATGCAGCCAAAAGAATTCTAACTACTCCATATGGTGTACTACTATAATTGGGTTCTTTTGTTTTCAAACCAAGATCAAGTTATCTCAGGAAAATTAAGGTGAATTATAATGTCTGGCATTTCTTGTGGTTTTACATTTGTCCAGAATTTTTCATTTTTAATGATATTTATTGTTAAGAGTAGCATTAAAATAAGCCAGGATGACTTTGGTAGACCATCACCAAAGCTTTTACCATGGTTCTGTCTAGTAAAATGTGAAATGCAAGTGAAATGAACTGGGTATCATTTTAATCCAGGATTAAATCTGAAAGAAGGCCACGATAATCTGTTTCTCTTTTCCAGACTCTTTATTAATACAATGTAACTAACACCCTCTGTAAAGGGTAGGATTTAGGGCACTCACCCATAAAGTGCAGGCATGTGCTGCATAATGATATTTTGGTCAACGATGGACTGATTGTCTGACAGTGGTTTCATAAGGTTATAATGCCATATTTTCACCGTACATTTTCTACACTGCACAGTGTGTAGATATGTTTAGCTACACAGATACTTACCATTATGTTAAATTGCCTATAGTATTCAGTACAGTAATATGCTGGACAGGTTTGTAGCCTAGGAGCAATAGGCTATCTCATATAGCATGGGTGTGTAGCAGGCTATACCACCTAGATTTGTATAAGCACACACTTTGATGTTCACACAACGATGAAATTGCCTAACGATGCATTTCTCAGAATGTATCCCCTTCATTAAGTGATGCATAATGTATCCCCCTCATTAAGTGATGCATAATGTATGCACTTTAGCTAGGAATGGCGATAGCTAACCCTCTGGCCTTGTGGGCTATGGGAGAAGTATTCCATTGCTGCCTCAGCCAGCCACTTGCTCAACCAGGTAGCTGTGCTGTGGCCTGAGCCTGTGAAATGCACAAAGTTATCACAGGCCATTGAGAAATTTAGAAAATTATTGGTGAGGTATGTGAACTAAATGCAGAAAATAGAGGCTGAGCAGTCCTGGCATAGAGCCTATAGAGCACATTTTGAACGTTCTTGCTAAGGTGGTTTTGTAACTTATGGTGTGGTATAAATGTAAAACTCCTTATTTTATTTTTGGTAACACTTGTATAATTTGCACTAATTTTAGTTGTATAATTTTAATAATTTTTGGTGTCCTCTTTCACTCTTCAGTGTCTCAGTTTGGATGACAAGTCGTGTGGTCACCCTTATTGTAGGTTGTTTTTTCATTAGTCTTCCAGTTCCAACTCTCTGTTAACTGGCTCCTTCTCTGATTTTTTTTATTTTTATTTTTGCTCAGATTCCTGAGACAATCTGATTGGCCTACCTTGTGGAAATACTAGATCATTTGTTGTTGGTTAGCCAAGTGTTTGTGGCTCTTGAACCAAGTGCTCTGTCTTGGTCCAATTATCTGTGGTTGGATTGTGTAGGGTAGCGGTGGGGGTATCATGTGATAGAAAAACATGTCTGCACACAGAGCAAGCGGTTTGGCTTAGAAGTGGATATGAGCATGACAGTTATTTTGACTTCCTCTGTAAAGCACTTAAAACTAACGGTCAAGTCTTATAACAGAGTGAAGAATTGCTACATGAAGGCCAGGCAGGGTGACTCATGCCTATAATCCCAGCACTTTTGGAGGTCAAGGTGAAAAGATCACCTGAGCCCAGGAGTTTGAGACTAGTCTGGGCAACCTAGGGAGACCCTGTCTCTACTTAAAAAAAAAAAAAGGCTGGGCGCGGTGGCTCACGCCTGTAATCCCAGCACTTTGGGAGGCCGAGGTGGGCAGATCATGAGGTCAGGAGATCAAGACCATCCTGGCTAACATGGGGAAACCCCGTCTCTACTAAAAATACAAATAATTAGCCGGGCATGGTGGTGGGTGCCTGTAGTCCTAGCTACTCGGGAGGCTGAGGCAGAGGCAGAGCTTGCAGTGAGCCAAGATTGCACTACTGCATTCCAGCCTGGGTGACAGAGCAAGACTCCGTCTCAAAAAAAAAAAAAAAAAAAAAAAAAAAAAAAAAAAAAAAAGAAGTTGCTATGTGAAAACTGAAGCATTGGTTACTAACATCACTTACTAAAATATAAGCCCTGAAAGAAGGTCTCGTTCACTGTTGTGTCCCCAGCAACTGTAAAAAGTATAAACAAAAACTAAATTTTAAACTCCCCAACTGACTGAATAGACACCTCCTCTTGGACGAGGGGATTATAAAGAAAACTAAAAAACTAGTTCAGGCCATCATGAGAAGGGGAGATGGGACATGTCTCATTATACTCTCCTCCCTTTGGAGTTCAGGCACAACTGACCAGCATTAAAACAGAGGCCAGGCATGGTGGCTTGTGGCTTGTGTGTGTAATCCTAGCATTTTGGGAGGCTGAGGTGTGAGGATTGCTTGAACCTAGGAGTTCAAGGTTGCAGTAAGCTATGATTGTGCCACTGCAGCTCCAGCCTGGATGACAGAGTGAGACCCTGTCTTTATAAAATAAAAAATTAAAAAAAATTAAAAGAAACTATTAAAACAGACATCTTAATAATGACAAAACTGAATCTTCATAGTAATACAATATCAAATTCCAACCTGACTTGAGTATAGCATAACATGACAGATAACCCTGAAAGAAATCAGAAAATATTTTACCCCAAAATATATTTCTTTGACGTATTTTTATTTTATTTTATTTTATTTTATATTTTATTTTATTTTATATTTTATTTTATTTGAGATGGAGTCTTGCCCTGTCACCCAGGCTGGAGTGCAGTGATGCGATCTTGGCTCCCTGCAACCTCCGCCTCCCAGGTTCACGCAATTCTCCTGCTTCAGCCTCCTGAGTAGTGGTGGCTCACGCCTGTAATCCTAGCACTTTGGGAGGCTGAGGCAGGCAGATCACTAGGGGTCAGGAGTTCGAGACATATTTTTAAAAAACCCCACAAAGCTGTCTCTTGTGGGAGAAATTTACATTATGTACAGAATCCCTTTCCCTTTCCAGGTTTTTTTCTGATCCTGAAGAGATTAGCAGAAAGGTCTAGCTCATTTTAAGTGTCTGAATGGAAAACATTTACCTTCTATTGCCTCCAAGGGCAGCCACCTACAAGACTTCAACTACACAGTAAGAACTTTGGTCTCTACAATCCTTATCTTAGTCCAGAAACTCCTTTCTATTGATTCCAGGTCTTTAGATAATAACTTTACTCTTTCAACCATCTATGAATCAGAAAATCTTTGAATACACTTATGAACTGTAAGCCCTCACTTTGAGTTGTCCCACCTTTCTGGATTGAACCAAAGTATACATTAGATGTATTGATTGATGTCTTATGTCTCCCTAAAGTGTATAAAACCAAGCTGCAGCCTGACTACCTTGGGTACATATTCTCAGGACCTCTTGAGACTGTCCCTTGGGCCATGGTCATTTATTTGGCTTAGAATAAACCTCTTTAAATATTTTACAGTGTTTGTCTCTTTTTGTTGACAAAAGTGATGGATCCACTTAATAGATATTCAACAAATATATATTAAATAAATAAAGTAAATAGTAGATTGGTTTCAGCTGTTGGGTTCAGAAACAAGAAAATGTTATCTACTCTTGAGGAGTGTGGAGCAGTTTGTTGTTTGGAACAGTTGTGTGTTGTTGCTCCACTGAGTAGGGACTCCCTGGGATGGGGCAGCAGGCTGAGAGACAGGAGGCAGCCAGGGTAGCCATGATTTACACCTTGTCTTTTCTCTCAGATAAGTCCTAGATATCTGAAAACAGAGCAAAAAGTATTTGTCGAGCACTCCGTATAATATATAATAAAGCCTAAACTCCCCCTGTAGGATATAAGGTGTGTTCTCCATGGTCTGGCCCCTCTATGTAGCCCCCCATCTCCCACCCTTCCTGTGGCTCTCCCTCTAGGCCAGCCATACCTAACCACTCACAGTCCCCCAAATAAGCCATCATTTCCCATGCCCCAGTGCTATTGATTCTGCTTATAGAGCTTTTTCTCTCTTCCCACTGAGTGAGCTCATATATTCAGTCCTTGATACTCACCTCTTGTATTGGTTTATTATTGCTACATAATAAATTGTCACAAACTTAGTAGCTTAAAACAACACACGTGTATTATCTCATACCTTCTGTGGGTCAGACATCTTGGCATGGCTTAGCTGGTCCTCTTGTCAGGATTTCAAAGGCTATCGCCAATGTGTTGGCTGAGCTGCCTTCCTTTCTGAAGCTCATGGTCCTTTTCCCAGCTCATGAGGTACTTAACAAAATTCAGTTCTTTGTGGTTGTAGGACTGATGTTTCTGCTTGCATTTGGACTCTCAGAGGGAGCTACTCTCAGACCCTAGAGGCCCCCACGGTTCCTTGCCACATGGCCCCCTCACAGACCCTCTCACAATATGGTGACTTTCTTCTTTAAGGCCAGCAAGAGAATCTTTTGCTATAGTTTGCTGAGACAGAGACTTGTATAACATAACAATCAAGGAATTAAGTCTCTCTCACTTTGACACACTCTTTTGGCTAGAAGCAAGTCGACTATTTCATACACACACTCAAGGGGAAGGGATTATATGTGGGTGTGACTCACTGAGGGTTCTCTTGGAGTCTGTCTGCCACAGTCCACCCTTTGGCCTCCAGTGATTCACATTTCTCCCACATGCAAATACATTCATTCTATCTCAAGGCCCCTAAAAGTCTCACTTTATTACGTCTTCTCTTTGAATCCCTCCCTATTCCTCTTCTTCAACAAAGTTGGATTTCCCTGCACCTGTATTTGTGCTTTATTTTTTTCTATGATGCTGGTCAGGATAACCTGCAAAGACCTTGGGTTATCCATGGGGCCAATTTAGGTATATCATCAATTTCCCCAAAATACAATTATATATTGTAAAACATTCCTAGCTTATGTAGGAGGGCTTTGAAAGGAGAGAATTGTATTATACTCTGCACAGCAAAAGTTATCCCACCATCCCCTTTAAATGCCTCAACTCCTTTCCCAGAGGTCTCATTCATGGGGAACTGCCCTATTTGCTGTTCTTCCTCCCCCACACCTACTCCCTTGCCTACTTCTCTTTTTGTCTCTCCATTTACAGCCCTTTCTTAGCCACACACGTTCCAATATCCTCCCCATATCTGGGATCTTTCCTTCCAGATGTCTTTATCACTTTCCTCATGTTGCAAACTAGCCTTCTCTTTCAGTTTGTATACCTATCTTTAAGCCTTGTTCAACAAAATTAAAGATCATTCTCAATATCCACTGTCCTTGGGACTCAGGAATTAGAAACAACTACCTAATAAATATTTTTCCCATCATGATAGCACCCATCACATCTTCCTCCTTTATTGGCACACATTAAGTAATTCATTCATTGTTGAATGAGTTAATAAGCATCAGGATAATTTATCTGGACAATTCAAAGCCAAAAAATTCCACTATGGTGTATTTGCTTTATCTTTAGCCTGAACTGGCAAATTTTTAGCCTGAATTAACAAAAATAGCCTAGGTTAGCATTCCTGTATATCCTGGAACTATAGAATCTGGCTTGGAAAGGGCTTACCAGTCAATCTAACTCAGTCTTCACCCTGGTGCTTGAATTCCATCTGCAGCATCCTTATGTGGTTAGTCTTCTGCTTTAGAAAAGTCAATCATTTCCCTCCCAAGGTGGGCTCACCTCATTTTCAGCTTTGAGAGAGCCTGCTAAAGATAGTATCCACTAAAATAGCTTATGGCAGTGCATATGAAAATGTGGGAAGGGTCACTGTGATTGAAATAAAACTGTTTACAAACATTCCTGTTTGCCTGGCCTTCTGGGCATGGGGTAAGATGATGCTTCTTCATCCCCTTTGAAACTTGGTGTGGCCATGTGCCCTGCTTTGGCCAATGAGATGTGACTAGGAGTGATGTCACTTTCTGCAGAGCTTGAACAGCCAGCATGTAATTTACCATATTGCTTTTCTTGTGCCATGGTGGTTGTGAAGCGTACATGGAGAGGAATTCTCTATCATCCTGTGTCCTAGAGTGACTAAAATGATCCAGATACCACCCACCATCGCTGATCTGCATTAGACGTGTAGAGTGTGTGAGAAATACATGTTTGTTGTGTTTAGCACTGAGATCTTGGGGGTTATACTGCAGCTCATTCTGATATGGTCACTGAAAATTGGGCTAGCCAGGGTGATTACATTTCAATTCATCCTCAAAGTAATTTGATAGACTCACATCTGCAAATCTTCTGAGGCATATACAAAAGATGTTGGGCAGGGTACCCAGGCTGACCTAAGAGCTTCTGTTGACAAGAAATTTGTTTTTTACTCTCTTTTTAATTTTTTATATGATTCTTTCCCAGGAAGTTTTGACTCTATAGAGCCAATGGATGTGGACCCTGGACTTAGAAAGAGATTTGTAAACAAACCAGAGAACACCGAAGAGCTGCTCCTTCGCACTGAAATGGTTTGCTGGCTTTCTGCCTAGATCCGACATCTCTTCAAATGGACAGTCCCAACTCTCCTTCTCTCACTTCTCTTCCCCCTTCTCTGTAAGTCACAAATGCTGCATTTGGAGGAACTTCATTTTAACTAGGATAAACATCACATAATAAATGATGCATTTTTTCTCATAAAGCAAACCATTTATCAATGTTTTTAGTAATTGTTTGTGTTGGAGCCCTTGGTGGAAGTCTTATGATCTATAGTGTCCATTGAGGCTTCCATTTAAAGGGGGGCAGAGACAATGCCAAAGTTGATACAAGGGATGATGGGGAGATAAGCTCTCGAGGCCTATATATTATCCGCCCGCAGTGTTGGGAGGGCCACAGGAAGGATGGTGATTATTCTATTTGGCAAGCCAATTGTCTGTCTTTGGAAAATGATAGGATGAAGAGTGGAGTCAAAAATAATACCTTTCTCGATGCCCAGATATAAATGAGCTATTTACAATCCCTCCTGCCTTTTAGGTTTGGGTTTTATTTTTCCTCTGCACAATAGATTAAACCTTCAAGGAGGTTTGTAGTAAAAGAGGAGGAAACTATGAAAAACACCACATACTTGCAGACACCTGCAAGCAACCATATTATTTGTCCCCTTCAAAGGAATCTCCTGAAGAGATTGTGAGTTTATTCAAATAAAATAGCTGTATTGCAGACTTTTATAGCTTCTTTTTTTTTGAAATTTTTCTTTTCAAATATTCTTTACACACAAGTCATTCATTCATTTAAGTAAGTACATCGAATGCCTGTTATTTGTTGAGTACTATGCAAGAACTTGGGAAATAATGACGAATAAGTTGATCCTAGCTCCCTCAAGATATTTATCAGCTATTGGGGGACCACAGACAAGTAAACCAGATGCATTCACTATGGGTTTGATCAATGCAGTGGTAGACATATGCACAGCATGCTGTGAGAAAAAAATAGGAGAGGCATCAAACCCAGACTAATATGTAATCAAGGAAAGATTCCTGGAGCAAGTGGTTTCTCAACTTAGTTTTAAAGAAAGCAAATAGGAGTTACATGAACAAGAGGAAGGAGGGGTGTGTACAAAGGTCTGGAGGTAAGCAATAATATGGCAGATTTGTAGAATAGCAAGTCTTTTACATGGGTCTTAATTTTTTTTTTTTTTTTAAAGAGATAGAGTCTTGCCATGTTGCCCAGGTTGGCCTTGAACTCCTGGGCTCAAGTGATCCTCCCACCCTAGCTTCCTGAGTAGCTGGAACTACAGGCATGATACACCTCACCAAGTGGTTGCTGCACCAAGCACCAAGTGCTGACACTGCATACTTGGGCTTCAGTTAAGAGACAGATGTCCAGGGCCTCCTGCCAATGGGATGTCTTAAAGAAGTCTTTCCCAACATTAAGCTGGGACTCCAAAGGGTTAAACCTAAAGGAAGGATAAAGTAATGAAACCCTATTGCCTCCCTGCCACAGTGACAGGGGACTGTGGAGAAGCCTGCCTTTCTGCTGAACAGAGCAGGAAGCAAAAAGAAGAAAAAGAAAACCCATTCCTGAGAAGTTGTGACAACAAATTGGCCTTTGTGGAGACATACATCTGCCTATACCGGTTCCCTGGGAGCACTGGGCCACCTTAGGACATGCAGTTGGCTGAAAGTGGTCTTCTTTCCAGGGGACCTGGCAGAAGAAAGCAAAAAGCATCTCTGGAGGAAGGCCATTCATTCTAGACATCGGGCACTCTTTACAAATTATTTCTCAAAAGCAATGTGCAAGTAACAGTAAGCAAGCTCACAAAGAAATAAGACAACATAAGTGAGAACCAGCTGCTTCCCCACACCCCCACCACCCCAAAAATATAGGAATAGGGCACAAACACTTCAAATGCTATAATTATCAGGCACAGATTCTGAAACAATTGTTTCCTGGTTTAAAGAAATAAGTCACATGTTTAAAAATATTAACAGAACAAGCATCTATAAAAACAACAGAAGATTTGCAGAAAAAATATATAGAACTTCCCAAAATAAAAAATTCAATAATTAGCATTAAAAATTCAGTGGATATGTTTGGCCAGATTAGACTCATTAGACAAGTAAAGTACTACATATATCAGAAGAAATTATCCATAATATAACATAGAAGAAAAAATAAGATAGAAAATTCAGAAGAAAGAGTAAGGGACATGGAGGAGATAGAGATCAGAATCCCCCCAAAAGCAGAGAAAATCAGGCAGAAGTGATATTTGAAGACATAATATGTGATATATTTCCAGAATTGATTGAAATGACTTAATACACAGATTCAAGTGAATCAGAAGCATAAAAAGAAAATATAAAAATTAAATAAGAGTAGAAATCTTAAAAGCAGCCAGAGGAAAAAAAAAGAAAGTTGACTTCAAAGAAGTAGCAATTAAAATGACAGTTGACTTTTAAACAGCAAGAAGTCAGAAGGTGTATTAAATATGCCAAAAGGGAAGGATTACCAAACTAATATTCTATGCCTAGCAAAAATATATTTCAAGAATGGGAACACAATAAAACCACTTTCATATAAACAAAAACTGAAGTTTTTTTTAATCACTAGGAGGTATTACAGGATGTACTTTAAGTAAAAAGAAAGTTATGCCAGATGGGACTGAGGAACAGAAGGAATTATGTGCAAAGAAAGTAGAGAATATGTGGAAAAACATAAACATTAGATGTATGAAGCAGTAATAATATGTAGTGATTTAAGAAAAAGAATCAAAATATCATTTTTCTAAAGTTTTATATTATCTGAAAACAATGTGGAAGTTTTGATTAACTTTAGACTTTGATCATTTAAGTGTGCATATTATAATTCCCAGAACAATCTCTAAAGGAGCACAGAAAGCATAATTGCCAAACCCACAGAAAGTGTAATAGAATGAAATAAAAATATTGGCAATCCAAATGGATGCAAGAAAGGAGAGGAAAGGAAGGAGAACAAAAGAGATGGAACAAATACAATAGACTTAAACCTCACAATGTTAGTAAAATTACATTAAATGTAAATGTCCTAAATGTTCAAGTTAAAATTAGAAAGATTATCAGCCTAAATTAAAATTCCATCTAGTAGCATATGCTATTTACCAGAGTTCATCTAAAATATATAAGGACTCAGAGAGTTTGAAAGTCAAAAAATAGAAATATCAACCAAAGAAAGTTGGCACAACTGTATTATTAATAGAAAAAATAGACATTAATGCTAAAAGTGTTACTAGAGATAATGAGAATGATTTCAAAATGATAAAAGATCTAGTTCATTGTGATAATATGAAAATTTAAATTTGTTATAATTCTAATAGCATTGTCTCAAAATATATAAAGCAAGAGTTGATAGACTTATAAGGAGAATAAAGTACACAATCATGGTGGGAAACGTAAACATGTCTCTCTTATGGAAAAAATGTTAACATAAAATTTAAGTGAGTTGGTGCCTCTGAGTGAGAAGAGGTTTTCATTAGGAAGGGTACATACATAAAGGGCTTCTGGAGTTCAGAATGTTCTATGTCTTTGTGTAGGTGGTGCTTAAAGACTTTATAATTATTGAACTGAGCATATGAACTTTACTTCTACATGTATATTACATATACATATTATTTTGCCTGAATATCACAAATATAATAATATTAAATGAAAAACAGAAAGATGAACAACCAGTATTAAGAATTTAGATGGGCTGGGAGCGGTGGCTCACTCCTGTAATCCCAGCACTTTGGGAGGCCGAGGCGGGCAGATCACGAGGTCAGGAGATCGAGACCATCCTGGCTAACATGGTGAAACCCCATCTCTACTAAAAAAAAATACAAAAAATTAGCCGGGCATAGTGGCGGGCGCCTGTAGTCCCAGATACTCGGGAGGCTGAGGAAGGAGAATGGCTTGAACTCGGGAGGCGGAGCTTGCAGTGAGTCGAGATCGCGCCACCGCACTCAAGCCTGGGCGACAGAGCGAGACTCCGTTTCAAAGAAAAAAAAAAAAAAGAATTTAGATGGCACAACTTATGAGGTAGAAGGAGTATTTAAGGAAATGGTGTCTTAGAAGGCAAGTGCAGAAAGTATGTCAGGAAAGTTGGTTGAGCAACTGTTTCTGTTGATAAGTCAATTAACACAAGGATTGAACATCAGCCTCTTTGTTCAACAATGTGGATGCCATTGGAGACTTAGAAATGAGTTGTTTTATTGAAATGCTGGAGGCAAAACCTGACTGGAGTAGGTTGAGAAGAGACAGGAGGAGAAAATCAGATTGCCATTGTATTAGTTCGTTAAGGCTGCCATAAACAGAGTTCCACAAACTAGGTGACTTAAAAAACAGAAATGTGTCTCATATTTCTGGAGGCTAGAACTCCATGATCAAAGTGTCATCAGGGTTGGCTCTTTCTGGAGGCTTTGAGGGAGACTCTCTCCATGCCTGTCTCCTAGCTTCTGGGGTTTGCTGGGAATCTTTGGTGTTCCTTGGCTTTTGTTGCATCAGCCTGATCTCTGCCTTCATCTTCACTTGTGTGTCTCTGTGTTCTATAAGGACACTAGTCATCTCTGATTAGGGGCCCACTCTACTCCCACGTGACCTCGTCTTAACTAATTACATCCGCAATGACCCTATCTCCAAATAAGGTCATATTCTGAGGTGGTGAGGGTTAAACTTCAACATAAAAGTTTTGGTGGGACACAATTGAACCCATAACAATGAGTATAGACAAGCTTTAAAGTGGACAGAGAAATGGAATTTGGTAGAAGGAGATGTAGGATAAAAAATATATATAGTTAAAGATGAAATGATTAAAATTATGTACGTTGATAGGAATTAGCCAGTAGAAAGGAGAAAAATTGGTGATTCAGGATAGAGAGGGAACAATGGCTTGAGGGAGGTCCTTGAGTGGGTAAAAGGGTACAAGATCCATTGTCTAAGCAGAAGCATAGGCCCGAGAAATGAGTGAGGACAACCTTCCCTTAGTAGCAGGAGGGAAGGCAGAGATGTATGTGTACAGATGGGGGTAGGCTGGTAAACACGGCACTGGAAGGGTATGGAAGTTTTCTTTTGTTTGTGTTTTGTGAGGGAATGGAAATAAACTGATAGGGTGGGGAGGAGGTGAGAGGGGTTTGTCAAGAGAAGAGAGGCTGTGAAATAGTCTTATGGGATAATGAGGTAAAGGAATGTAGCAGAATTGCCAGGGCACACTAAAAGCTTGGTTTAGTAACTGTGAATTTAAGTCAGTATGTTTGGGTGCTTGTTTCCAGCTGCAGTTAACTGTGGGAGTGCAGGTACAGAGTAGGCACAAAGTTAGATTTAACTAGGGATTATTTTTTTTCCAGATGAAAACTGCAGAGTGAGAGGCAAAGAAGTTGAGGGAATTTCTAAGGGAGTGATTATAGGATGGACAATGAGTTTGGATCAGTGGATTGAAGGTCCTGGTAAGGTTAAGAGTTTCTGAGAATTGAAGTATTGTGGAATACATTGGGAAGATCACACCACTCCTCTGTTCAAAAGTCTCAATGGTGACACATCTGAGTAACAGCAAAAGTCCTTACCGTGGCTGATTAGGTTGCCCTACAAGATCTGCTTTCCCATCCCCTACCCATGTTTCTACCCTTATTTCCTCCTTCTCCCTCATGGTCCTTTTTGACCACACTGGTCTACTCATTGTTTCTTGAACACCCAGATAAGCTCCCATCTCATGTCCTTTGCATTTACTATTTGCTCTTTTGGGAACAGTCTTCTTCCAGATGACTTCCTGTCTCAGTCCTGCAGCATTCAGGTCTTAGCTCAAATATTTTGTGTGTGTATGTGTGTGTATTTCCCTGGCCACCCTTTAAATAAGTGGACCTCTTCAATACTGCCTAACCTTCTTTCTTGCTTTATTTTTTTGTAGCACTTATTACAAATTAAATGGTATACATTTGGTTTATCATCTCCCTCAATCCTATGTAAGTTCAAGAAGGGTATAGATTTTTGCCCATTTGGATCAGTCATATATCACCAACATCTTGAACAGTGCCTGGAACAACATTCATTTCATTGGATGAGTGAATGAAATATAGAAATGATGAACAGAGTGTAAGTCTTCAAACTGAACTTAGAGAGAAAGGACAAGTATGGATAAAGCATAAGACAATCTAGAATATGACTGAGAGTCATGGCAGATATACAGTAGAGGATAAATTTTTTGGAGAAGAGAATGTCAAGAAAATGAGAGGTCAGGGAGTCTTACTTCCAAGAATTTCAAAATCACTAGGAATTATGGTGAGTCACGTTAGAGAGAGTGACAAGGAATGGGGAGACAAAACCTAGGGATGCCGAGGTCCATTGAAGACTTCAATAGGAGGAAATGATACATTGTCTAATGGTGCAGGCTTCAAGGCTGGGTGTTTAGGGAAGAGAAAGGGAAATTGTTTTAGGATCTGCTACAAAGAACAAGCAGAATACCCTACCCCGTCACCAGGCCCAGTGATAGGAAGCATGTGCTTGAGAAAATCACCAGCCCTGGAGAAGAGTGCAGGGGAAGCAGTATTCTCAGGGAAAACAGTTTCTGTAAAGCGGAAAAACAAAGGGAACTCTTCAAAAAACATTATTGAAATAGAGATTTTGTTGATAATGCCTTGTGATTTTATAGGTTACAGAGGAAAAGGTCTTTAGGAGTTGGAGTAAAAGTAGGGATTTGAGAAGGAGAGGATCTGAGTGACCAGGAGTCTGAGAGTCTTGGTCTTCTTGTGATGATCAGGTAGAGAGCAAGGAGGAATTAGCCTTGCTGGAATCAATGTAAGCTATTTGGCAAAGCTGTGAATGTCAGAGAATGGGGAACGAAGAGAGAGGTGGTGGAATCCAGCCAGGGTTATTATATACTTGGGCATTTCCTCTTCCCTTCTGCCAATGGTAATGAGGAGGCCGGGAAGGATGGCCTTATCTGGAGCATACAGGACTGGAATAAATCCATATTCCCTTTGTATTAGGTTTCTAGGGCTGCCATCACAAAGCATCACAGACTGGGTGACTTTAACAATGGAAATTAATTTTCTCATGGTTCTGGAAAGTGAAAGCCAACATCAAGATGTTGGCAGGGTTGGTTCTTTCTGAGGCCCCTCTCCTTGACTTGCAGATGGCTAATGCAAGTCAAGGACCTAATGACCTCATTTTACCTTAATAACCTCTTTAAAGGCCTTAGCTCCAATACTGTCAAAATTGTTAGGGCTTCAACAGTTTTTGGGAAACACAATTCAGTCCATAACACCTTTCATTCCGGAATAAATACACAGCCACCCAAAGGGACCATTTTTATGTCATTGTTATTATTACTCCTTTATTGCAGAAGAAAACACAGACCCAGAAGTTTCAGTAACTTGCTGAATCACATTGCCAGGGCAGATTCTGAAACTCACTCTAAAGCATCAAGACAATCTTCCCTGTGCAGATCTAGACCAGTGTCTGGAACATAGTGGGTACAATAAAGAGTAAACAAATGAGTAATTTTTATTCCAAGTGACTTCTCTGTATTGCCAAAAATGAAATCTGAATAAGAAAGTTCATCACTAGTGAGGAAAGACAAAGAACTTCAACATTTATTGATTATCTGTAGAGTCCAGTATATTAACCAATTATGTTATACTTTATGTTGTTTGTTCCAGAATAACTGTGTTCAGATTGCAGCATAAAGAAGCCCTGTGGATACAAAGAATATTTAAGATATGGTAAAATAATTCAATTCCGAAATATAATTTCTGAACAAGCTTGGGAATAAATGCATGGTTTTCCACAATGATGACTTCAAAGGAAATGGTGCCCACTTGGATCTTTGATGGGGCCTTTCTATGTTGCCCAGGCTGACTTTGAACTCCTGGGCTAAGGGATTCTACCACCTAAGCCCCCCACATAACTGGGATTACCGGAGTGCGCTACTGTGCTTGGCCATGGATCTTTTAACATTTTATATACTAAAAGAGAAACATTTTTATGGCTTCAGTTCACATCCTTCTATTTGTATTATTGTAAGCAGATTACTGTGTTTGGAAAGGTCAGTTCTCAAGACTTCCCTTTCCACTTAGCAATTAGTTCCATGCTTTATATGTGCAATGTAAACTATATATCAATTACTTGGAGCATTTTTGTTTTGAAGTGTTTTCCTTTTTGTTTCATCTGAAGAAATGCTCACAGCCCATTTTATTAGACTCAGAAAAACCTTCTTGTCCTATTCCCAAATCATCCAATTTCAAGTTTGCCAAAGTTGACAGGTATGGGAGAGGTCTTTACCATACTGGTGAATTACATAAGGACAAATTTATTTGCTTTGATTTTTAAAGGCATCCAAGGAGGGGGGAAAGGGAAGTAAATGCTTGGTTATTTAGTACAGTCCTGACTCTCCATGTGGTTTCTAACTTCAGCATCCTGTCTTTGTTCACTGTACCTTCACGTTTCAGTGCTCCTCCAAGGGGGCTGTTGGGCTCCTGGAGTTATCTGTCCATCAAAGCCAGAAGCCAACTCCTGGAGGCTGAGCTTGAGCCCAGGCATGTCTAGGAGATGTCTCTATCTAGGTCCTACCTAACAGGTGATTTTCTCATTCTACCATGGGTAGCTATATTAATATAGCAGATACCTTGGACAGCAAAGTACCACCCACATTAGCTCCATGATGCTTGGGTCTGGAAAGCTGAATCTTTGAGGCTGTGTAACTCTCTAGATGGGACTGGGTTCATAAGACTTCAGTTCCATTGGTGATGTACAGGCTGCAAAGCACAGCACAGCGTAGGAAGGGCACTACATCCATCGGATGGCCATTCAGCTCTTCTTCCCCTGCTCTTCCAGCTCAGCCCACTTGCACCTATTGATACATTTTATCTATTGTCTTTTAAAAAGTGTATTGAGGTAAAATTGTTGTACAATAAACTGCATCCATTTAGAGTACACAGTTTAATGATGCATTTCCTGACAAATATATATATCCATGAAACCACCAAGATAATCAATATATAGAACATTTACATCATCCCCAAATTTCCTCCATGCCACTTTGTAGCCAATCCTATCCTGCCCTCCTCTCTAGTCGCAGACAACCACTATTCTGCTTTTTGTCTTTATAGATTAAGAAGCATTTTCTGAAAATTTGCATAAGTGAAATCATCCAGTAGGCACTCTTTTGGGTCTGACTTCTTTCACTTAGGATAATAATTTTGAGATTAAGTCTACCATTTTTTATTTATCCCTTTTGTGTCTTGTTCCTTCATTCTCCCTTTCTTCTTGTTTTTGAATTACTTAAATATTTTTGAATTTTTTTTTCTTTGTGGCATCCTTAGGAATTAGGCTATACATTTAGGCCAGTTATCAATTTGGTGCCATTCAATTCCAGATCCACCCTTTGTTTCCCCTTTGCCAACTGGTGCAATCTTATGCTCTGCCAATAGAGGGCATGAGAGGGCTGCAAGTCTGGCAGAAAAAAAAAAAAAAAAGCTTTTCCTGGTTCTTGGGGTCTTTTTTCTCCTATGGCATGGCTGCCAGCACACTAGTATGCAGAAGGTCCAGGAGTCCTCACTCTCCAGAGTGTTTTTCTGCTACCAGGAGGCCTCTGCCTGCTGACTAGCTCAGGTCCACCAGCACCCCAGCAGGCCATGCCTTGTGGGCCAGCTGCAGCTGGCTCGCACCCTCTGGTGGGTTTCTGTGCCATCCCATGGGCTGCTCCTGCAGACCAGCTTTATTCCACATAGCCTGGCAAATTTCTTTACCTCTGGAGGCCTGTGTGCTTCTGTGATGGCTACGGCCTCTCCAAAGAGGCTTTAATCTCAGCCTTGGAGGGAAAAGGGTCTTCCAAATTCTTAGTTCCTTCATTGTGTCATCTCTTTCAGCCCTAGAGATACAGGTTGAACATCTCTTATCCAGAATTCTTGGGGACAGAAGTGTTTTGGATTTTTAATTTTTTTTGGCATATTTACATATACATAATGTGCTATCTTGGGGATGGGACCCAAGTTTATGTTTCATATACATCCTATACAGATAGTGCAAAGGCAATTTCATATAGCAGTTTTTTTTTTATTATTATACTTTAAGTTCTGGGATACATGTGCAGAACGTGCAGTTTGTTACATAGGTATACACGTGACATGGTGGTTTGCTGCACCCATCAACCCATCATCTATATAAGGTATTTCTTCTAATGCTATCCCTCCCCTAGCCCCCCACCCCCCGACAGGCCCCGGTGTGTGATGTTCCCCTCTCTGCGTCCATGTGTTATCACTGTTCAACTCTCACTTATGAGTGAGAACATGCAGTGTTTGGTTTTCTGTTCCTTGTGTTAGTTTGCTGAGAATGATGGTTTCCAGCTTCATCCATGTCCCTGCAAAGGACATGAACTCATCCTTTTTTATGGCTGCATAGTATTCCATGGTGTATATGTGGCACATTTTCTTTATCCAGTTTATCATTGATGAGCACTTGGGTTGGTTCCAAGTCTTTGCTATTGTGAATAGTGCTGCAATAAACATACCTGTGCATGTGTCTTTATAGTAGAACATTTTATAATCCTTTGGGTATATACACAGTAATAGAAGTGCTGGGTCAAATGATATTTCTGGTTCTAGATCCTTGAGGAATTACCACACAGTCTTCCACAATGGTTGAACTAATTTACACTCCCACCAACAGTGTAAAAGCATTCCTATTTCTCCACATCCTCTCCAGCATCTGTTGTTTCCTCACTTTTTAATGATCGCCGTTCTAACTGGTGTGAGATGGTATCTCATTGTGGTTTTGATTTGCATTTCTTTAATGATCAGTGATGATGAACTTTTTTTCATATGTTTACTGGCTGCATAAATGTCTTCTTTTGAGAAGTGTCTGTTCATATCCTTTGCCCACTTTTTGATGGAGTTGTTTGTTTTTTTTCTTGTAAATTCATTTAAGTTTCTTGTAGATTTTGGATATTAGCCCTTTGACAGATGGATAGATTGCAAAAATATTCTCCCATTCTGTAGGTTGCCTGTCCACTCTGATGGTAGTTTCTTTTCCTGCACATAAGCTCTTCAGTTTAATTAGATACCATTTGTCAATTTTGGTTTTTGTTGCCATTGCTTTTGGTGTTTTAGTTATGAAGTCTTTGCCCATACCTATGTCCTGAATGGTATTGCCTAGGTTTTCTTCTAGGGTTTTTGTGGTTTTAAATTTTACATTTAAGTCTTTAATCCATCCTGAGTTAATTTTTGTGTAAAGTGTAAGGAAGGGATCCAGTTTCAGTTTTCTGCATATGGCTAGCCAATTTTCCCAACACCATTTATTAAATAGGGAATCCTTTCCCCATTGCTTGTTTTTGTCAGGTTTGTCAACGATCAGATGGTTGTATATGTGTGGCATTATTTCTGAGGCCTCTGTTCTGTTCCATTCGTCTATATACCTGTTTTGGTAGCAGTACCATGCTGTTTTGATTACTGTATCCTTGTAATATAGTTTGAAGTCAGGTAGCATGGTGCTTCCAGCTTTGTTCTTTTTGCTTAGGATAGTCTTGGCTATATGGGCTCTTTTTTGCTTCCATATGAAATTTAAAGTAGTTTTTTCTAATTGTGTGAAAAAAGTCAATAGTAGCTTGATGGGGATAGCATTGAATCTATACATTACTTTGGGCAGTATGGCCATTTTCACGATATTCGTTCTTTCTATCCATGAGCATGGAAAGTTTTTCCATTTGTTTGTGCCCTCTCTTATTTCCTTGAGCAGTGGTTTGTAATTCTCCTTGAAGAGGTACTTCACATCCCTTGTACAATGTATTCCTAGGTATTATATTCTCTTTGTACCAATTGTGAATGGGAGTTTACTCATGATTTGGCACTCTGTCTATTCTTGGTATATAGGAATGCTTTTGAGTTTTGCACATTGCTTTTGTATCCTGAGACTTTGCTGAAGTTGATTATCAGTTTAAGGAGATTTTGGGTTGAGATGATGGCGTTTTCTAAATATATAATCATGTCATCTGCAAACAGAGACAATTTGACTTCCTCTCTTCCTATTTGAATACCCTTTATTTCTTTATCTTGCCTGATTGCCCTGTCCAGAACTTCCAATACTATGTTGAATAGAAGTAGTGACAGAGGGCATCCTTGTCTTGTGCTGGTTTTCAAAGTGAATGCTTCCAGCTTTTGCCCATTCAGTATGATATTGGCTGTGGGTTTGTCACAAATAGCTCTTATTATTTTGAGATACATTCAGTAAATACCTAGTTTATTGAGAGTTTTTAGCATGAAGGGCCGCTGAATTTAGTTGAAGGCCTTTTCTACATCTATTGAGATAATCATGTGGTTTTTGTCATTGGCTTTGTTTATGTGATAGATTATGTTTATTGATTTGCATATGTTGAACCAGCCTTGCATCCCAGGGATGAAGCTGACTTGATCGTGGTGGATAAGCTTTTTTTTTTTTTTTTTTTTGAGACGGAGTCTCGCTCTGTCGCCCAGGCTGGAGTGCAGTGGCATGATCTCGGCTCACTGCAAGCTCCGCCTCCCGGGTTCACGCCATTCTCCTGCCTCAGCCTCCCGAGTAGCTGGGACTACAGGCGCCCGCTACCACGCCCGGCTAATTTTTTGTATTTTTAGTAGAGACGGGGTTTCACCGTGTTAGCCAGGATGGTCTTGATCTCCTGACCTCGTGATCCGCCCGCCTCGGCCTCCCAAAGTGCTGGGATTACAGGCGTGAGCCACCGCGCCCGGCCGGATAAGCTTTTTAACATGCTGCTGAATTGGTTTGCGACTATTTTATTGAGGATTTTCACATCGATGTTCATCAGGGATATTGGCCTGAAATTTTCTTTTTTTCTTTTTGTGTCTCTGCCAGGATTTGGTATCAGGATGATGCCTCATAAAATGAGTTATGGAGGAGTCCCTCTTTTTCTATTGTTTGGAATAGTTTCAGAAGGAATGGAGCCAGTTCCTTTTTGTACCCCTGGTAGAATTCGGCTGTGAATCTGTCTGGTCCTGGGCATTTTTTTGGTTGGCAGGCTATTAATTACTGCCTCAATTTCAGAACTTGTTATTGGTGTATTGGACTTCTTCCTGGTTTAGTCTTGGGAGGGTGTATGTGTCCAGGAATTTATCCGTTTCTTCCACATTTTCTAGTTTATTTGCGTAGAGGTGTTTATAGTGTTCTCTGATGGTAATCTGTATTTCTGTGGGATCAGTGCTGATATCCCCTTTATCATTCTTTATTGTGTCTATTTGATTCTTCTCTCTTTTCTACTTTATTAGTCTGGCAAGTGGTCTATCCATTTTGTTAATCTCTTGAAAAACCAGCTCCTGAATTCACTGGTTTTTTGAAGGGTTTTTCGTGTCTCTATCTCCTTCAGTTCTGCTCTGATCTTAGTTATTTCTTGTCTTCTGCTAGCTTTTGAGTTTGTTTGCTCTTGCTTCTCTAGTTCTTTTAATTGTGATATTAGGGTGCTGATTTTAGATCTTTCCCGCTTTCTCCTGTGGGCATTTAGTGCTATAAATTTCCCTCTAAACACTGCTTTAGCTATGTCCCAGAGATTCTTGTACATTATGTGTTTGTTCTCATTGGTTTCAAATAACTTATTTATTTCTGCCTTAATTTCATTATTTACCCCGTAGTCATTCAGGAGCAGGTTGTTCAGTTTCCATGATGTTGTATGGTTTTGAGTGAGTTTCTTAATCCTGAGTTCTAATTTGATTGCACTGTGGTCTGAGAGACTGTTTGTTATGATTTCCATTCTTTTGAATTTGCTGAGGAGTGTTTTACTTCCAATTATGTGGTCAATTTTGGAATAAGTGCAATGTGGTACTGAGAAGAATGTATATTCTGTTGATTTGGGGTGGAGAGTTTTGTAGATGTCTATTATCTGCTTGGTCCAGAGCTGAGTTCAAGTCCTGGATATCCTTGTTAATTTTCTGTCTCATTGATCTGTCTAATATTAACAGTGGGGTGTTAAAGTCTCCTACTATTATTGTGTGGGAGTCTAAGTCTCTTTGTAAGTCTCTAAGAACTTGCTTTATAAATCTGGGTGCCCCTGTATTGGGTGCATATATATTTAGGATAGTTAGCTCTTCTTGTTGCATTGATCTCTTTACCATTATGTAATGGCCTTCTTCGTCTCTTTTGATCTGTGTTGGTTTAAAGTCTGTTTTATCAGAGACTAGGATTGCAACGGCTGCATTTTTATTTGCTTTCTATTTGCTTGGTAAATATTCCTCCATCCCTTTATTTTGAGCCTATGTATGTCTCTGCACATGAGATGTGTCTCCTGAATACAGCACACCAATGGGTCTTGATTCTTTTTCCAATTTGACAGTCTTTGTCTTTTAATTGGGACATTTAGCCCATTTACATTTAAGGTTAATATTGTTATGTGTGAATTTGGTCTTGTCATTATGATGTTAGCTGGTTATTTTTATTGTTAGTTGATGCAGTTTCTTCATAGCGTTGATGGTCTTTACAATTTGGTATGTTTTTGCAGTGGCTGGTACTGGTTTTTCCTTTCCATACAGTGCTTCCTTCAGGAACTCTTGTAAGGCAGGCCTGGTGGTGACAAAATCTCTCAGCATTTGCTTATCTGTAAAGGATTTTATTTCTCTTTTGCTTATGAAGCTTAGTTTGGCTGGATATTAAATTCTGGGTTGAAAATTCTTTAAGAGTGTTGAACATTGGCCCCCACTCTCTTCTTGCTTGTAGGATTTCTGCAGAGAGATCTGCTGTAAGTCTGATGGACTTTCCTTTGTGGGTAACCTGACTTTTCTCTCTGGCTGCCCTTAACATTTTTTCCTTCATTTCAACCTTGGTAAATCTGATGATTATGTGTCTTGGGGTTGCTCTTCTTGAGGAGTATCTTTGTGGTGTTCTCTGTATTTCCTGAATTTGAATGTTGGCCTGTCTTGCTAGGCTGGGAAAGTTCTACTGGATAATATCCTGAAGAGTGTTTTTCAACTTGGTTCCATTCTCCCCATCACTTTCACGTACACCAATCAAACGTAGGTTTGTTCTTTTCACACAGTCCCATATTTCTTGGAGGCTTTGTTCGTTCCTTTTCATTCTTTTTTCTCTAATCTTGTCTTCATGCTTTATTTCATTAAATTGATCTTCAATCTCTGATATCTTTTCTTCCACTTGATCGATTTGGCTATTGATATTTGTGTATGCTTCACAAAGTTCTTGTGCTGTGTTTTTCAGTTCCATCGGGTCATTTATGTTCTTCTCTAAACTGATTATTCTATTTAGCAATTCCTCTAACCTTTTTTTCAAGGTTCTTAGCTTCCTTGTATTGGGCTAGAATATGCTCCTTTGGCTCGGAGGAGTTTGTTATTACCCACCTTCTGAAGCCTACTTCTGTCAATTCATCAAACTCATTCTCCATCCAGTTTTGTTCCCTTGCTGGCAAGGAGTTGTGATCCTTTGGAGAAGAAGAGGCATTCTGGTTTTTGGAATTTTAAGCCTTTTTGTGCTGTTTTTTCCTCATTTTCATGGATTTATCTACCTGTGGTCTTTGATGTTGGTGACCTTCAAATGGGGTTTTTGTGTGGGCATCCTTTTTGTTGATGTTGATACCATTCCTTTCTCTTTGTTAGTTTTCCTTCTAACAGTCAGGCCCCTCTGCTGCTGGTCTGCTGAAGTTTGCTGGAGGTCCACTCCAGACCCTGTTTACCTAGGTATCACCAGCAGAGGCTGCAGAACAGCAAAGATTGCTGCCTGTTCCTTCCTCTGGAAGCTTTGTCCCAGAGGGGCACCCACCAGATGCCAGCCAGAGCTCTGCTATATGAGGTGTCTGTTGACCCCTGCTGGAAGTTGTCTCCCAGTCATGTGGCACTGGGTTCAGGGACTCACTTGAGGAGGCAGTCTATCCCTTGGCAGAACTTGAGTGCTGTACTGGGAGATCCGCTGCTGTCTTCAGAGCTGGCAGACAGGAATGTTTAAGTCTGCTGAAACCGCGCTCATAGCTGCCCCTTCCCCCAGGTGCTTTGTCCCAGGGAGATGGGAGTTTTATCTATAAGCGCCTGACTGGGGCTGCTGCCTTTCTTTTAGAGATGCCCTGCCCAGAGAGGAGAAATCTAGAGAGGCAGTCTGGCTACAGCAGCTTTGCTAAGTTGCGGTGAGCTCCACCCAGTTCAAACTTCCTGGTGGCTTTGTTTACACTGTGATGGGAAAACCACCTACTCAAGCCTCAATAATGGTGAACGCACCTCCCCCCACCAAGTTTAAGTGGACTTCACACTGCTGTGCTGGCAGCGAGAATTTCAAGACAGTGGATCTTATCTTCCTGGGCTCCGTGGGGGTGGGATCTGCTGAGCTAGACCACTTGGCTCCCTGGCTTCAGCCCCCTTTCCAGGGGAGTGAACGGTTCTATCTAACTGGTGTTACGGTGGCACTGGGGTATGAAAAAAACTCCTGCTGCTAGCTTGGTGTCTGCCCAAACGGCCACCCAGTTTTGTGCTTGAAACCCAGAGCCCTGGTGTTGGCACCTGAGGGAATCTTCTGGTCTGCAGGTTGTGAAGACCATGGGAAAAGTGTGGTATCTGGGCCAGAATGCACCCTTTCTCATCGCACAGTCACTCATGGCTTCCCTTGGCTAGGGCAGGGAGTTCTCTGACCCCCTGGGCTTCCTTGGTGAGGTGATGCCCCACCCTGCTTTGGCTTGCCCTCCTTGGGCTGCACCCACATCTAACCAGTCCCAATGAGATGAGGTGGGTACCTTGGTTGGAAATGCAGAAATCACCTGCCTTCTGCGTTGATCTCGCTGGGAACTGCAGACCAGAGCTTTTCCTATTCGGCCATCTTGCCAGCCACCTTCTCATATAGTATTTTTTAATAATTTTTGCAGGAAACAAAGCTTTGACTGTAACTCATCACACGAAATCAGGTTTGGAATTTTCCACTTTTGGCATCAGGTCAGTGCTCAAAAAATTTTGGATTTTGGAGCCTTTAAAATTTTGAGTTTTTGAATTAGGGATGTTTAACCTGCTTTCTGTGTTTGCCATTTCTTAAAGTCCACCTTTATCCCTTTACTTTTTAGTGGTTATTAAAAACTTTTTCTATTAAATTTTCTGTGATCAGATAACTAGTAGAGTTTCTGTCTCTAATTTTTTTTTTTTTTTTGAGACAAAGTCTCTCTCTGTAGCCCAGGCTGGAGTGCAGTGGTGCCATCTCAGCTCACTGCAACCTCCGCCTCCTGGGTTCAAGTGATTCTTGTGCCTCAGCCTCCAGAGTAGCTAAGACTACAGGCCCACACCATCATGCTCGGCTATGTTTTTTTGGTAGACACAGGGTTTCACCATGTTGCCCAGCCTGATCTTGAACCCTTGAGCTCAAGTGATCCACCCTCAGTGGCCTCCCAAAGTGCTGGGATTACAGGCAGGAGCCACTACACCTGGCCTCCTGACTAAATTTTGACTGATAAAACATCCTTAGCTACTCAGTTGCAGCATTTGCCACAGAATGTAAAACGCTGAACCATTGGGGTCCATTTGCCAGCCTCCATTCTTTATACTGTCATTGTCACACGTATCTTTTCTACCTACATTCCACATTCAGCAAGGCAATGCTATATCTACTTAACCAAAATAATGAAGATCTGAGCTCCTCTGGTGTGATTTCTCGTAGGGCTGAAGAACTAACTTTAGCATTTCTTATAGCATAAGCATGTTTGTGTTAGATTCTCTTAGTTTCATGCTATCTATACACATCTTCCTGCCACTTTCATTCTTGAGGGGTATTTTCATTGAATATAGAGTTCTGGGTTGATGTGGTCTTCTGTCCTCCATGATTTCTTTTCTTTTCTTTTCTTCTCTTTTTTTTTTTTTGAGACAGAGTCTTGCCCTGTCACCCAGGCTGGAGTTCAGTGGCATGATCTTGGCTTGCTGCAACCTCCACCTCCCAAGTTCAAGCAATTCTCATGCCTTAGCTTCCTGAGTAGCTGGGATTACAGGCACATGCCACCATACCCGACAGATTTTTGTATGTTTAGTAGAGACAGGGTTTCACCATGTTGGCCAGGCTGGTCTTGAACTCCTGATCTCATGTAATCCACCTGCCTCGACCTCCCAAAGTGGTGGGATTACAGGTGTAAGACACTGCGCCAGGCCTCTCCATGATGTCTGATAAGTTTCCTGGCATTTGGTCCTCTTTTTTTTTTTTTTTAACTCTGAATGTGATATGTTGTGTTTTTCGTGCTACCATCAAGACTTTTATTTTTAATCTCTCTCTCTCTCTCTTTTTTTTTTTTTTTTTGCAGTTTTACTATGACGTGCCTAAGCATACTTTTAGTTTTCTTTGTATTTATGTTGTTTGATGTCTGCTGAGCATCTGGAATCCTTAAATTTATGTTTTTCGTCAAATTTGTGAGGACTACTAGACAAGCTTCAAAACAAGTCTGGATCCCAGGTCTCTCTCCATGTGGAGGTAAAGCAAAAGAATAGGGGACTGCTAGTTGGAAGTGATGTCAACCACTGTTTCTTAAATATTTTTCTTTCCCCTTCTCTTTATCTTCTCTTTCTGGGTTATATTGTTTGAAATTGTTCCATAGTTTCCTAGGACTTTTTTCAATCTTTTTTTCCTCTGTTTTTCCAAACTAGATAATTTTTTTTTTTTGGTCTTCAAAGTCACTGACCTCTGTCATATTCGTTCTGATATTAAGCCCATCCAGTGGATTTATAATTTTCAGATATTGTTTTCTTCAGTTCTAATGTTTCTGTTTAGTTCTTTTTTATGTTTTCTACTCTTCTGCTAAGATTTATTTCATTGTGAGCATATTTTCCCTTACTTCATTGAGCATGGTTATAGGAGCTGGGCTGCAGCCCAAATCTCAGCTCAGTTTCCAGCCCTCCCACTTCTCAAAGCTGTGATGTTTGCAGCCTGCCCTGATATTTGTGACTCAGTAGCCAGCCAGTGACTGGGCAGAGTTGCATATGACTCTGAGAACGCCTTCTTTGGCTTTCTTCTCTCTGGAATGTTCCCTTACTTTTCTGTGGCCATGGCTGCCATGCCTCCTCTTTCCTCTGGCCAGAGAGATGACAAGTTTTCTTTCAGAAGCCACTCCAAGTCATGTCATGCCCACAGCTTTCCTGTGGACCAAAGCCACAAAGAGGAGGGACTCACCTGGCGCCAATCCCTTCTTCCAAATTTCAGCTCCCTTGCAAATTCTGTTCACTCCTCAGAGGCATCGGGTAATATTTTAGTGGTGTTCAGAGTTTACATTATTTTATTTTTTTAGAAATGTGTCTTACTATGTTGCCAAGACAGGTTTCAAATTCCCAAGCTCAAGCAATCCTCCTGACTCAGCCTCCTGACTAGCTGAGACTACAGGTATGCACCACTGTGCCTAGCTTTAGTTATTTGCAAGAAGGTCAGTGGACTGGGAAATTATGCTATCTTTCTAGAAATGAGACTTCCTTCTCCACTAATTTTTATTATCTGGGTAGTAGGTATGCATCTCAGACCATAAACAGAGGTGTATTAGAACTAGAGTATCTCTTTATTTTCTATATTCAACTTTTTATTTCTATTTGGAGTCCCCAACCTCAGACATGTCCCCTAGTTCCAGGGTCATATAACACAGGATCATGAGTCCAAATAGGTCAATTGTGGAGCCATCCTTTGTCCCTGTGTTTGTGGTCCCATCAAATGACTTGACTCTCTGCTGCTCCTAACCACACTGCTGAGGCTAGGTTCCAGGAAGCTTAGACAAACACATTGTCAATTTTCCCTTTAGGGCTTCCTCCTCCCTGGTAGCACTGTTGGGAAGGAGGCACAGGCCCCCTCTTCTCCCAGGACCCCTCGATCTCCTCTTCCTCTTGTTCTCCTCTCCTTTCCTCTGAGCACTAGGAGAACCTTGCTCTAGACTGGGAAAAATTATTTCTTCAAGTTTCTTTAAGACACACTCTTTTTTTCCTGTAATATTCAATAATTTAGGCTTTTGGAACATTAAAGCCAGAAGCCATATGAGCTACTTTTGTTTCCCCCTGCTAAATGTTTCCCTTGGGGCTGTGAGCTCAGAGCTGGTGAAAGGCTTGTTTAAAGGAGAAACGAGAAGGTCAGGGAAAGATAAAAGATAGCAGGAAGAAATCCCATAGCTTGATGTTTCCGAATATTATTCAGACACGGAAAATGTCTTCTTCCTCTCTAGTCCCCCAGTATGTATCTCGATGCCTTGCATGTGGTGATTTCTCAACAAATATTTATTAAATGGATGAACAAATTTGCTGTGTAATATTGGGCAAGTCTCATGACCTGTCATTTTGTTCTCTGAGCTCTAAAATGGGGATAATGATACTGATGTCACAGTGTTGCTGTAGGATCAGATGTGATTACTCACACTTTGTAAAGAGTTTTCTAATTATAATGTTTTGTCACTGTTATTATGAATGTTCTTCGAGCTGAGAGAGTGCTTGGCATCTTTGTCCAAACTATGGGTGATTCCAGACAGAACTAGTCAACTGGAAACAGGCTTTTACCTTTTCCCCAGAGAAGCTGCACAACTTCAATGAATTGTTTTGTTCTCCGAAATTATTTATCCTCCTGATGACAGTTTTTATGTCAGTTTGCTTGGTGATTCCTGCATGATGAGAATTGATTTTGGATTAGATTCTT
This sequence comes from Homo sapiens, assembly GCF_000001405.40. Classification (NCBI taxonomy): domain Eukaryota; kingdom Metazoa; phylum Chordata; class Mammalia; order Primates; family Hominidae; genus Homo; species Homo sapiens. The sequence continues at coordinate 84,015,822 of NC_000010.11, read as the reverse complement.
CCCAGCATGGAGTAACCGGTACAGTACTGAGAAAATGATAATAATATTGTATCTCATCTTAAAGGCATGCTTTGGCTATTTGCATATTTTAGTTAGAATTTAAACTGAGTTCTAATCACATGAAATGTTAAGGTGTACTTTAAATGTACGTTTTGAGTATTCTTAAAAAGTGCTTTCCAAACTGCCTGACGAAGCAAAGATTGAATGAGCTGTGTCTCTTGCTGAAACCTCTGTAAATGGGCTCAGCGTTTAATAAAGATTTATAATTTTTGATGTTCTTTGTGTGTGAAAAGGACATTGCTCAACTCTAAAGAACTCAGAAATAGGAAGGGCTGGTACCTAATGATCTGGTGTCTTCCAAGGAGCTCATAGCATGTGGCAGATTGCACATCTGCCTCTTGAAATCCTAGGGAATTACCCAGTGCTTGCTGGATAGCAACATGACAGTCACCCCCATCCCAGACTAAAGCTTGGGGTTCAACCACAGCAGCAAGTATAAGGTTAGCATTTGAGAGATGAGCTTATGGGCACATGAATGCTATGTAAGCTCTATAGAAAGAGAGAAACAGTGGATGAGGGCTATTGACTACACCTCAAAGTAAGTCCCAGGTCCCAAACATCTCTCCATGTGGACGTGGGGCAATAAGTTGGCGGAAATGACAGCAGGAGGTGATTCCATGCTGGAAGGTCCGTCTTCAGGCCTTAGGGATCAGAATCAGAGCACAGAAAATCTAGTCTGAATGAACTGATATGCCCTGCTTTCGGGTGGGACATTTTTCCAGCTACAAGGGTTGTTCAATCAGTTAATATTTTTTGTTTGCTTCCTATTTTAAGACCTTGTATTAAATGCTGCAATACAAGAGAAAATTTATATTTCACTAGCACCTTCCAAAGCATTTTTTCTTATATCATGTACACACACACACACACACACACACACACACACACACACACACAGTGTTTTAGGAGAGTTTTCCTATATACTGTAGGGTGGGTTATGGAGCCACAGTTCTAGGGTTGATCCTGGAGCCACCATTAAGTAGCTGTGATTTCTCAGGAAAACTACTGAACCTCTCTGTCCATCAGTTACCTTATAAGCGAAAATGAACTAATAATAGTACCTGCTTCCTAAAGTTGATGTGAGGAGAAAATGAGTTATTTTGCATAAAGTTTTTAGAACAACGCCTGGTATGTACTCATAACTGTTATCTATTTACTGTCATTTGTGGGGCTGGCAACATTGGGAGCCAGGCCCACACAGGGCCAACAATGGGTGATCACAGGTGATCCTGAGCAGCCAGAAGTTTGGTTGGTGATGTGAGAAGCAGAATAGAGGAAATGAATAGAAAAGCTGGCTGCAGACTTCAGAAGGAGATTCTGTGACCTAATAAGAGGGAATCAAAGGCTGCAATCCAGCTAGAAAAGATGGCTGGGGTCCTGGGCAGAAAGCCTGGCAGCAAGGTATTGGACAGTGGAGTTCATGGGACTGACTGTGGAGTAGCAATCCCCACCGTGGACGCCCATTTGAAAATGGCTGTTTGGCTGGGCATAGTGGCTCATGCCTGTAATCCCAGCACTTTGGGAGGCCAAGACAGGTGGGATCATGAGGTCAAGAGATCGAGACCATCCTGGCCAACGTGGTGAAACCCTGTCTCTACTAAAAATACAAAAATTAGTTGGGTGTGGTGGCGTGCACCTTAGTCAGGTTAGGGATTGGCCAATCTGGATTCTGGGGGATTGTCATTAAGTGGTATAAGATCCGAGTAGAGCAAGTCTGGGTTGCCCTGGCCTTGGGAGGCTGAGGCAGGAGAATCGCTTGAACCTGTAAGGCGGAGTTTGCAGTGCGCCGAGATTGTGCCACTGCACTCCAGCCTGGCGGCAGAGCAAGATCAAAAAAAAAAAAAAAAAAGAAAAGAAAAGAAAAGAAAAGGAAATGGCTGTTTGAGGTACTAAGGTCAGAGGGGGATACGCAGCAACATGGACTTGGTGTTGAGCCATGGAGGGACTGCTACATTTCTCCTGCCTGTGGACAGCCCTGGGTTTGGGACTATGGCCTGGCTGAACTTAGATTGGGAATTAAAATTTTAGTTGTTGCAGTAATAATAAAAACAATAATGCTGCTGCTACTATTATTACTACTACTAGTAGTGATAGCATTTATTGATGGTGTACTATGATCCAGTATTAAATGCTTCATTCACAACACCACGAGGGAACCTTACTATTCCTGTTTTTCAGATGAGAACATTAAGCATAGAGAAATAAGTGTCTTGTAATGGTCACAGACTAGTAAGTAGAGGGGCCAGCTTTGAACCTTGGCAGTCAGATGTCTGCTCTTAACCATTTATTATACTGTCTTCTAAAACTTGGAAGAGAGTGGTCAGACAGCCAGAGGGAAAGAGATCAACTATAGTAGAATTGTAGGAATTCAACACCTTGTGTCTATCAGAGAGAGGTCAGGAAGAGGGAGAAAGAAAGAAAATCGCATGAACAGAGCAGCCAATAAAGGCCAACACTCCATTCAATGAAGGTGTGTTTCAGACCCAGAGTGACAGTCAGACCGAAAACAGGAACTGGCTGTTTCCTTGGGAGGGCTCAGCTTCTGATGGCTTCTCATGCAGGAAGCCTCTCACTGTGCTGAGTGTGATGCTAGCACTTAAATGCACACAGTTTTTGCACCACTGATCCTTACAGGCAAGCCAAGTGTTTTACCTTCAAGTGCAATGAAAGAAACAGCCATCTCTTCCAAAGCTGGAAGATAAGCTGACTGGTTTGGAATTGCTCAGAGATGGTTTGTAGCTGTCCAACATGGTGCTTGCCCAGGAGATCAGCAAAACAATTTTGCCTGTAAGTGATCTTTCCTTGGTACTGACCAACCTTTTGGGTTAGGGCAGCACTCATTTTCCTTATCCCAGTGAGCATCAGAAATGAGCAGTGCTAAGGGTCTTAGTAACTTATCAAACTCAAAATTAAGAGCATGGAGTGTGATCCAATGTATTCTTTATTAACTATATATTTGAAAGTGGGGCTGGTTAGATTGCTGCCAGATTCAGGTCCTGGAATCCTTTGTTATTTAGATTGCACATTTTCTGTTTGGTTGAGCCTGTCCCAATCCTTATTTCATTTAAATGTATTTTTTCTTTGCGTGAATTTTCCCTACTCACAAAAGAAACAGAAGGTGCTAAATGCAGCCAAAATGCCTGCAGAATTCTTCCAGCGTTGTTCAGTGATTATGTAAGTGGAGAAGTACATACAATTTCCATTTCAATCAAGTTTTCCATTAATAAGGAGATTGAGTTATTTCTTAGTTCAAGTTGTCAGGGACTGCAGCAGGTCACTATGCTATGGGTACCACTAAGGAGTTGGTCCCAAGACAATAGAGAGGCTTCACTCAACTTTCAGGTGAATATCTTTTTAGAGATCTGATGACATTAGATAAAACAGCACCATTCAGTAACTGGGCTCAGGCTACTGTCTTTAAAGTCCTTGAGTCGTGATAGAGCTTTGTTGTAACCAGTGACATAACAATGTCTATTGTGTGAGGAAGCAGCTTCCCTTAAAAGAAGAACCAAACTCAGGGCACTGGAAAGTTTTTGCTGAGAGTGTTTGGAAGGAAGACTCTCAGGTAAGGATAGTTGAACACTGGTAATGACTGCCTTCCCAGGGGCTCAGCTTTCTTTTGGTGTTGGTCCAACTGACTTCCACGGCCACCATCATGATGGGTGTGTGTCGTGTGTGTGTGTGTGTGTGTGTGTGTGTATTTAAGTAGGAGAGCAGGGCAAGCGGCACTGCTTTCATTTTAGAATCTTCAAGTGAAGTGGGGAAAAAATCTGTTTTTCATTTGGCTCAGCTGAGAAAAGAAGGGAATTTCACAAAAACTATATAAAATATTAATGGAGAAAGGAAGAGAACAAAATAAGATAAAATATTGGCAGCACAAGAAAAATTGAGTGAGTGCAGATAAGAACATCTGTTTATTTGGGGCTCCCATGCACCTCACCTCCTGGTATGTATGCTGTTGTGATTCTGGGCTTGGCCATTTCACTGCTTTGGTCAATGGAGCATTAACATGTGTGGTGCAATCAGATAGTGGGAACCTGTCCTTCTGGAATGGTCATTCTTAGGGTTCAGCTGCCATGGAAAGAAGCCCATGTGGAGAGACCACATGGGGAGAGAGAAACACTCCAGACTTGCAGCCAGACATGTGGGAGAAGGTATCCTGGAAGGTGCAGCCACCTGACTGCAGCCTCAGGAGAGACCCCAGAGGAAGGAACCATCCAGCTGAGTCCCAGCCAACCCACAGAATAATAGGAAATAAAATAAAAAAGGAGCGTGCTTTAATTCACTACGTTTTGAGGTAGTTTTAGATGCAGATAACCTAAACTAGATGTCTTAGATTCCATCAGATTTAACTGTCTTGTGAGTCTCCGGGGCTCTGCCCAGAACTGAACTGCTGCCATAGATGATAATACTCTAGTCCTATGGGTAGGTGGAGTTTTACAGATACTGTTTCTGTCTCTGTCCCCTCTGCTCCAGGTCCATCTCCATGGCATGTCTGCCCTGTTGATGGCATTTCCTATTTTTCTATCTGGTGCAATCCACCAGAGTCTCCTGGCCACCTGGTTGCTTCTCCTTCCTTTTGTCATAGTTTTCAAGCTGTGAAACCTTCAGCATTCATGCTCAATTGCCTGGGCTGTGGCTGACAGTTAATCACCTCCTTCTTCTGGAGAAGAGCTCTGAGTGCTTTCCATTACTGTCCTTTCTTAGTCATGAGTCCCAAAATGACCAGTACTAATAATATTAAACGGGAGAACTTGGCCAGACCAGGGCCTCCTAGTCATTGGAGAGAGTGAGGGGCACGGTATACCTAAACCTAATTGTGTAGCCTGAGTCAGGTTAGGGATTGGCCAATCTGGATTCTGGGGGGTTGTCATTAAGTGGTATAAGATCCGAGCAGAGCAAGTCTGGGTTGCCCTGTCATCAAAGCTGGTGGGTCCAAGGTCAAGGCCAGACCACAGCAACTGGGGTGTGAGCTCTCAGCTAGGCAGTGCCGCTCTTGTGAACTGCAGTTCTTTGCAGCTGGGTTCTTTGGAAAGGCCAGGGTTTCTAATAGCTTGTTCTGAATGATTGGCATCTAAATGTTTACAACACATGCAAAAATTTGCCTCTCCTTTCCTAAATATCTAAGATGGCATGTCTCTCTGCCTTTGTAACCAATAAATAGAACTCAGTCCAAAGAGAATTTGGACAGACATTTCAGGAAAAGATGAAGATCAAGGAGTTACTGTTCTCATAAAAGTGTACTTTTTTGTGTAAATCTAAACTCTGCTCATTGCAGTCTCTCCTGTCGCAAATGACACTGCCGACCTATATTGGCCCTGCTGTCTGAGGTCCAGGCATATGTGGATTGTTATACTCTTAATCTTGATCTGAGTAGCGGACCACAGCCCACTTGTGAACAGAAGTGATTGTTGGCCATTGATATGGTTTGGCTGTGGCCCCACCCAAATCTCATCTTGAATTGTAGCTCCCATAATTCCCACATGTTGTGGGAGGGACTTGGTGGGAGGTAATTGAATCTTGGGGTCAGGTCTTTCCCATCCTGCTCTCATGATAGTGAATAAGTCTCATGAAATCTGATGGTTTTATAAATGGGAGTTCCCCTGCACAAGCACTCTCTCTTGCCTGCCACCATGTAAGATGTGACTTTGTTCATCCTTGCCTTCCGCCATGATTGTGAGGCCTCCCCAACCATGTGGAACTATGAGTCAGTTAAATCTCTTTCCTTCATAAATTACTCAGTCTCAGGTATGTCATTATTAGCAGCATGAGAACAGACTAATACAGACATACACTTCCTTCACTGCCCAATGGGGCTCAAGCCAGAAAGGAAAGTACATTAGTTTGCTGGGGCCGTTGTGACCGCTCTTCCTAGATTCCTACCACTGCCAACCCCCAGGGACCCAGCCATGTACCACTGGGCTGCTGGTTCAGAGAGGATGCCTGTTACTCTGACTAAAGCCTTTGAACCTGAGACAGTAGTTGTATCAGAATCTTCCAGGAATTGAGTGGGTCTGAGAGGCTGCTAATCCTCTCTGTGTTCCTTGGGTTAGTTCTTTGGGGAATCTCAAGAAAACGCTTGAAGCCTATGCAGTCTTGCTGACATATCTGGAAAGCAGATTCACAGAGCAAATTGACAGGCTCAAAATATCCAGGATCAACACTAAACCACTGGGGAGGCTTTCCTTCTGTGGCTTTCCTCCGACTCAAATAAAATACTTCTTTCATGATATATACACCTTTTAAAATAAAAACCTTGATAAAATATTTTGGACATAAAAATCAAAGCCTCCACTCCCATAATATTAAAATACAGAATGCAAACCCCAAACTGCTCAGTTAATCCAGGGGAGGGAAAATAGGGAAATATGGGAAAAACTGGCAAAATAAGAACAGGAGCCATAGAGAAAAGGGAGAACACAGTATTAGAGAGAGGGAGGAGGAGGGAGAGGGAGATAAAAGATTTAGTAAGACAAGAGGAGAAAGCAAAAGACCAGCCAGGCTGGGAGCGGGAAGCCTCCTCTGGCTCTGAGTGGAACATTTTTATGAGTTGGATCCTTTTGACTCAGTCTGCCATTCATTTATACTATGGGATTTGAGTTTTCTGTTCCCTTATCTCTGAAATGTTAATTAACTGATTATTCAGTATCTGTTCTATAATTGCTCTTTATTCTTAATCCTTCTGAGCCTCAGCCTTAAAGGAGGTGGCCTCAAGGGAGTATGAGTGGGGGAATGTTCACTTGGTCCAATGGAAGGGGCCGACAGCCTCAGGGGCCACCAGGTGGCGCTGTCCTCACCTCCATTTTAGAGGGGAGGGAATCTAATCTTTGTTGGGTGCCAACTACTCACTAGGGACAGCTATATTTGCTTTAATATCTTTTAGTCCTCACAGGAACCCTGTGAGCCGACAAGTAAAGTTCAAGGGATCATCTAGCCAGTGAATGGCCAGGAAGGTCTTGTATCCGTGTCAGTCTGACAAATGCCCAAACTTGCCCCCAACCCTGCACTCTAAGATGGACATGAACACTTGGAATGCTTGTAAAATACTGAAAAGGATGAAGAAGGAGAAGATGGTGGTCCCTATTATTCAACCACCCAGAATTAATCACTATTATTACAATCATTTTTGGCTATGTTTAAGGTTTTTTTTTTTTCTTTTTTTTAAACTGTCAATGTGTTTAAAACAATTTTCTTCTCTATTTCATATGATTTACATTTACATATATCCTAAACACGGCAACTAGAACCGTAAATTATTTTTAGTAAAAGGGGAAAAACTATGAACCCAACCTAATTATGAAACTAAAGGTGCAAATAGTCTGAATTTGACTTCTTTTTTTTTTGAGACAGGGTCTCACTGTGTCGCCCAGGCTGGAGTACAGTGATGTGATCACAGTTCCCTGCAGCCGCAACCTCTCAGGCTCAAGCAATCCTCCCACCTCAGCCTCCTGAGTAGCTGGGACTACAGGCATGTGCCATCCCACCTGGCTAATTTTTAAAATTTTTTGTAGAGACAGGTGTCTCACTGTATTGCCCAGGCTAGTGTTGAACTTTTGGGCTCAAGCAATCCTCCCACTTTGGCCTCTCAAAGTGCTGCAATTATAGGTGTGATCCACTATGCCCAGCCTGAATTTGATTTCTGAAATTGTGTGTGTGTATGTGTGTGTCTGGGGTATAACAGAGTTGACCCAAAACAAAACACAACTTCAGATTGTTTGTTGTTTCATACATTTATATTTTGAGTAAAAGATTCTGCAATCATACGGCCGGAGCTGGAAGAAGAAGCTGAAGCTCTGTCAGAAATTTTGGGTGACAGCACTTCTCATTGAGAGGAGGCTCATGACAGTCTTGCAGAGAATGAATGACTTAGAAAATGAGAATCGTACAGAAGCCATCCACATCACTTGACACAGGAATATAATTTACCTAAGAGAATTAAGGAACCAATAAAATACAAAAAAAGTTACATGGCAAAGAGACATATTTTTACTTGCTCTCTAATAGTGATTAATTGGCAACAACCTTTGTATCAAATACTAGAAGATGGTTAAGTAAAGTAATGCAACTATTCATTATGATGCAATATTACGCAGCTGTTAAACGTGACTGCCACATGTAATGTTTCAACAGACCAAAGATGAACTGAATGCTAATCATAGTAAGTTTGATTTCGTTAGTGCTTACTATTTGCTATATAGCCTGTAAATGCTATCTTATTTCATCTTCCTGCAAACCTCAGTGTCAGGTTTTAGTATTTTTCTCATTTTAACGTTAAAGAAACTTGGGCTCAGAGGTGCTTCTCTGACGACTCATACCTAATGCATGTAGGGCTTAAAACCTGGGTGATGGGTTGATAGGTGCAGCAAACCACCATGGCACATGTATACCTATGTAACAAACCTGCACGTTCAGCACATGTATCCCAGAACTCAAAGTAAAAAAAAAAAAAAAAAAAAAAAAAAGCTGATATGTGGAAGAAAGAGAGTTGATACCTGGCATTGTGTGACCCTGAAGAAGCCCATGATTTCCCAGCTGACTTGTCGTGTTGCTTAAGATTGCTAATGTAGTGCAGTGCTACTGATCCCTATGCTTGGATTCTATATGCTTGTTGCATGCCTAGGTATGGCCTTTGAAATCAAGGCGTTCTTTCCCCCACTTGCCAGGAATATTGGCTGCTTATGACTCGCAGCTGAGCTCTTCTCTGGACTTGGCCTTTGTCTGAAAGGAACCTTCTCACGGGTGGTGATGGCCTTCCCTGGAGGCGATCTGACTTCACTAACTGGTTGGCAAAGGTGGGAGCCTGCCTTCATCTGGGGAACTCTGAGGGGTTACTGCATTTCAGTCCAATGTCTTCCTCTGGCTAGCTCTGCTTCCCTTACTCCCCACAATGAATGCTGTCTGTGCCCAAAAACCTCCAACATGGAGATCTGACTCAGAGTCTGCTTTTCTGGGGAACTGGGCCGAAGAAATATATTCCAATAAGAACTCTAAAATTAGCCACCCAAATGGAGGACAAGGGCTAGGAGTGAATGCACGAAAAGGAAAGCTAATTGTGCTAAGATGATGTGATTACAGGTGACTTACTGCCTTTTCAAACGTATTCCTTTAAATATTTTATACTGTTACAATTTAAAGGAGAAAGAGCAAGAGGGAGGGAAAAATGGCATAAAAGGCATTGCATGAATGTGTAGCAGGGAGGGCCACCTGAGAACGTCTGCACTGTCTCTTTTTCTTGCTTACTTTCTCTCACACCCTCCTGTTCCTGGAGTCCCATGCCCCATTCCATCTTCCCTACTTTGAATAGAAAAATTGTTTGGAAACCCCTGGAGCCCTTGTATTAGAAGTCATATATGGTTAGTAACTCCAGCTTTCTTGGTAGGGACATTTCTTGATGAGTTGCCCTAGACAAGGGGATATAAGTTGGATGTAGAAACCCTGTGAAAAATGGGACTCTGTGGAAATGAATAACCATGTCATCTTTATAAGATTTATCTCACAACTTGTCCCACAGGCACCTCTCCTTCTGAAAGGAATGCTCTGGGCCATAGCCATAAAATAAGGCTTTTTATCTCGCTGCCTCCCATCCACTTCTAGAGACACATAAACATTCACGATAGTATCCACAGGGGTTTCACATGCTGGCTCTGTGCAGTGTGCCCTGGGGAGATAGAGATCCAAGGTTGCAATTTAGATGTTTTTAATGGAATATTATCTCCTCTAGTAGAGAAGCAACATATTGGTGAATCTGCTGTTTCTTCTTTCCTGATTAAATCAAAATCTCAGCAGAAAAAAATCAATCTCCTCCCCCCATTCCATTTATACCACCACTGCTTCAACTTCGATCTTATTACCTCTCACCTGGACAAGTGCAATAGCCTCCTAATAGTTCTCCCTGCTCTGGTCTCTCTCCTACCCCGCATTCAATTCTCCACACTGCTGCCAAGGGATCTCCTGAAAATGCTAATATGATATTGACCATCTCCTGCTTAAATTCATTAATGGCTCTCCATTTATTCAATATATAAATGTCCAATCAAGGCATTGAAAAACCTTCATGATCCCTGCCTACATTTTCAGCACCCTCACTAGTCACTTTTCTTATGCTCCATACATTTCAACCACATTCATCTTCATTTCCTGAGCAACGCATGCTCTCATATGCTTCCTGGCCTTTGCAGATGCAATTCATTCAGTCCGAGATGTCCTTCTGGAATGACTCATCTTTAACATCACTGCCTCTGAGAAACTTTATTTTTCCATTTAACTTTAAGTAACCTTGAACAATCTTCATGTATCAGTCAGGTTCTTAATAGCCGATGACAGAATCCACTTTAGTTAGCTTAAGCAGGAAAGAATCAATTGAGGAAATTAGAAAGCTTACCGAGTTGTTGGAAGGGCTTGGGAAATAAGTTTCAGATTCATTTTCCAGCAGCAGCAGTTCCCAGCACCATACCAGAGTCGGGTTCTCCTGGTGAGGAAGCAGTTTCTTCCTTTGGTCCCAAAATCATGCTGGCCTGCTCTGCTGCCACCATCACCCATGGAATGGGTGTCCCACCCTCTTCCTTTTCCCCTCACATAACTTACTTACAAATCCAGGTCTTGTGTAGATGTGTCTGATTGGTAAAAACAAAGCGACATGCCTCCATTCTAATAGCAAGGGAGATTGGAAACTTTTTTTTTTTGATTCTACATCGAGAAGGCAGAATTCAAAATGTGGAGATCTATCAACATGTCCTAAAGATGTTTAAAAGACATGAACAGCAGGAATGTCAGCCTTCCACTGTCTCTCTCTTTTTTAAAGACAACTATTGCATTTTGCTATTGTTCTCTTTATACATGTGCGCTTCCCCTGCTAAACCAAGGACTTGAGTTAAAGTGATGTCTCATTCATTTTTGTGTCCACAGCCCTCTGGCACAGTGCCTGACATATCAGTAAATCTTTGTTGATTGTTAAAATAATAGAGCTATGAGAATTCCTTGCCTAAAACTTTTTGCATGGTCAATTATATAAGATGTTATATCTAGTCTTGAAAACTGTACGCCAGTCTGTATGCTCTGAAATGTATTAACCAAATCTTAAATAACTCAAGCTGCAGGAAACAGTACTGTAAATATGATTTCAAATTTGGCCTCTAGAAGCAAGACTGCAGATTCAGCGCTCATATTCAGTACCATCTTACACATCATGTGCCATAATAAACAGAGCGGCCCTGCAGCAAATGAAGGAGTAAGGCAAGGTTATCTTCAGTGCTCTTTGCCTCCCTTCTCAGCCCTACTCTCTCTTCTCACCTATGTCATGCTTTCTTGTCTGTAAAGGACTGTCACACCTTTATTTATTTAATGCTTATAGCTATCCCATGTGTTTTTATTATCTCCATGTAATATCCTGATGTTGGCAAACTATAGCCTTGGGGCCCAAACCAGCTGCAGTCTGTGTTTGCAAATAAAGTTTTATTTGCAGTGTAGCCATGCCCACTCATTTATGTATTGCCTATGGCTTCCTTGGGTTATAATGGCAGAGTTGTGTATTTGCTATGACCTGCAGAGCCTAAAATATTTATTATCTGTCCATTTATTAGGTCCTGGCCTAAGCCTCTGGAACACAGGTATCAGGTGAAATTGTCCATGCAAGTCAGCACTTGAAACTAGGTCTTCTGATTATGGGTTCCATTCCTTAGATGATCATATTGGGAGTCATCTAAAAACGTGTAGAACTATTTGAAAGTAGTTTTCTCTAACTATAGTGTTCTTTTTTATCTCAGTTGATTCATACTGCTGACCAAGTGAATCAGACATGGAGTTTATAGCACTCTATATAATGAAAGGATGGAGGAGGGAAGGTACTGGGGTGGGAAATGTCAGTGAAATTCTTATGATAAATACCAGCACAAAAATATGGAGGTAAATGAAGAAACAGCTACAAATGGGGAAGGTGAGGAAGGAGGGGTCAGGGGAAGAGTCATCTTTCAGATTTAACCCTTTTGTATGATATTTTCAAAAACACTCACGTTACTTCAATAAAAATATCAAATTATTTTGGAAAAAAAACCAAAAAGTAAAGTGGGAGAGAAAGTACAAAGGAAGGCTGTCACTAGCATAGATTACGCTATAGTATAACTTGCTGTTTCTGGAGATATTTAAGGGTATACATCCTGAGAAATGGCTGCAAAGGCATACAACATACCCCATAATGTCATATCTACTTTAGAGAACTGTAAGTCACAAAGCAAAACAATAGCCACACATCCCAAGTATGACTTCTATCATTTGACCAACAGTGATACAAAGGAATGAAAGTGAAGTACCCCCACTACCACAAATTATGCAGTCAGGTTTCCTGCAGACGTCAACACATCCAGCGTGCAATGGATGAGCCTCACCCTGGGAAAGCCACCTTCATGATCATGGTATTTCCCCCAGTAGGTAAGTATGAGTTTATTGTGGCCTGGCATCTCACCCTTGATTCCAAACACTTTACACATAGGGTCATTCACTTTGCACAAGCTCTAGCCTGTCACTTGTGACATAAAGACTTCAAATTTTAAGAGCCAGATAATAACATTTTGGATACTAGAATATTTGCAAAATCCTAAGAAATGTATGTACAATATGAACAAGACCAACCAGAAGGCATTGTGTTCATCTACATACTCCAAGCCCCTCTTGGTGATGTCAAAATCTTTTGAGGAATCTGAGACATTTGTTGATGTGGCTAGGCAGAATACTGGCCATCAAAATGTTCAAGTCCTAATCCCTGGAACCTGTATATGTGTTACTTTACATTATGGCAATAGGGATTTTGCAGATGTGATCAAGGACTTGAGATGAGGACAGTATTCTGGATTATCCAGGTGGGCCTACTGTAATCACAGTGTCCTTGTAATAAGGACTCAGGAGGGCTAGAGAAATAGATGTAAGGACAGAAAAGAAGGCAGAGGAAAGGTGCTAAATTGCTGGCAAGAAATGTAGGCAGCCTTTCGAAGCTGGAAAATCTATATAACAATCACTCCAACCTCAGCAGCTTAAAACTGCAGCCACTTTATTATATATCTTGAATTTTGAAATTAGGAATTTGGGCAGAGCTCTTCTGGGCAATTTTTCTAGTCCATGTGGTATGCATAGAGGCCATTCAGTGGTCACTGTTTGGTGGACTGATTGATCTGTATGGTCAAAGATGGATTAATGCGTATATAGCTGGCCTCTGAGTGGGGCTGGCTAGGAGGCTGGGCTCAGCTGGGTCTTTTGGCCAGAGCATCTGCATGTGGTCTCTTCAGTATAACAGCCTCAGGTAGCCAAGACTTATTTACTTGTTTATTTATTTTTGAGATAGAGTCTCTCTCTGTCTCCCAGGCTGGAGTGCAGTGGCATGATCTTGACTCACTGCAACCTCTGCCTCTTGGGTTGGGGTGATTCTCCTGCCTCAGTCTCTCGCTACCCATGCCTGGCTAATTTTTTGTATTTTTAGTAGAGATGGGGTTTCACCATGTTGGCCAGGCTGGTCTCAAACTCTTGACTTCAAGTCATCCACCTTATAGCTGCTCAAGACTCTTAGAGAGAGTGATTTAAGACAATAGAAAGTGGAAACTGCCAATTTCTCAAAGCCTTGAATTACTTTTGCCATATTTTAATGGTCAATATAGTCATAAACACACTGAGATTAAAGGGGAGGGGACATAGACCCTACCTCTCAATGGGAGGCATGCCAAAGACATTGTGGCCATCTTTAATTTGCCACGGAATTGGATTAGAAACAGTGTAAAATGTACCTACATGTGTGTATGAACAGTGTGTTATGGAAGCTCAGAGAAGGCAGGGACCAACTCAGAGTCATAGTTCAAAAGCGAGCTAACAGTTTGTCAGACATTTCAGAGGGTAAAGCATTAAGTCATGGTGTCGCAAAGGAGGTGGTCATATTTAGGAAATAAGAAATTAGGTGTGTTAGAGTGGAAGGGGCATGGAGAAGGGAAGGGAAATGATGATGAGTGTGGCGTTGATATAGTGGTGGTACGATGAAGACAATGATAATGTAAACAGAATTACCCATATATTGTGCATTTTATTTCATTTATTCAGATAAGTTCTGGCTCTGTTGCCCAGGCAGGAGTACAGTGCTGGGATCATAGCTCACTGCAGCCTTGAACTCCTGGGCTCAAGTGATCCTCCCGAGTAGCTAGGACTATAGGCGTGTGCCACCACATCTGGCTAATTTCTTTAATTTTTGTAGAGACAAGATCTCGCTATGTTGCTCAGGCAGGCCTGAATCTCCTGGCTTCAAGCGATCCTCCCTCCTCTGCCTCCCAAAGTGCTCGGATTACAGGTGTGAGCCACTATGCCTGGCCTTCAAAGGTCTCTTAAATGCAGCAGAATAATCAGGTGACAACAGCAGTGGGTTGGAGAAAGGGCAGAACGGATTGGGACTGGGGGCCCAGGAGAAGAGGATTCTGACTGAAATGGAAGAGTCATGGTCTGAGAGGAGGCAAAGCAGCAGAGAGAGACCAATATGCCTCTCTACCTTTATCTACCGCAACCCTCCTACAGCCCTGTGAAAAAACCATAGCATAAGCCCTGAAGTAAGGAGTACAGCTCTGCCAGTGGCACATTCTTTCCGGGGATAGAGCTATACTGGCCAGGAATAGCCAAGAGAAGACAATTTGGGTACCATTTAGGGAAAAGACTAAGGGTGAAGAGGCCCAGCATGGTGGCTCATGCCTGTAATCCCAGCTTTTTGGGAGGCTGAGGCAGGAGGATTGCTTGAGGCTAGGAGTTCAAGACCAACTTGGAAAATATAGCAAGACCCTGTCTCTACCAAAACGAAACACACACACACAAAAGATTAGCTGGGCTTGATGGCATATGCCTGTTGTTCCAGCTGCTCGGGGTGCTGAGGTGGGAGGATCGCTTGAACCCATGAGTTTAAGGCTGTAGTGAGCTATGATTGTACCACTGCCCTCCAGCTTGGGCAACAGAGCCAGACCCTGTCTCCAAAAAACAAAAACAATAAAAAATTAAGAATAAAAGTTGGCGAAGAGGATGGGTTGCAATGACATGGAGACTCCACTGGGCTCTGGAGAAAGGATCAGGGTTTGCACAAGTAGGCGATGTTCTAAGCTGCAGGGAAATGAGGGTGGAGTGGGAAGAAGTGACAGAAGACCCTGGGTCATTATGGTCTCTATTATGTTGAGGATGGTGGACATGGGATAAAAGGGAGGAGGGGCTACTTAATTACTTGGTCCCTAGTCCCTCTCCCGGGAGGTGAAGCCTGAGGTTAGGATAGGGGAGAATGCGAGAGTTGCCCTCTGGGAGCTCAATAAAGGCTCCAGAGAGATTATGAGGCAGACAGATATTTCTAGGAATCAGATGGGAGAGTGGGTATAAATGAATTGCTCGCCTTTTTCTCAAAGTCATCCAACTTATCACAAGGACAATGCTGTGAAAAGGACATCTTGGAAAATCCAAAACAAAATTTTTTGGAAGATAAAGTAAATCCGATTCGTTGAGATGTTTCTGTGTGTTTGGAGATAAATCACATTATTGTATTTTATCAGCAGATTGGTGGGCAGTTTAACAGCTTAAAACTGGCAGCAAAATGGAAAGGGTTCCTCGTATCTATGAATAATCCACTATTTTATGCGGGTTTCTGGACAGCTTAAATAAGGACTGTGCAGAGAAGCACAGAGTGATTATGTAAATTGGGATGGCTTGTTGGGGAGTGTTTGCAGAGCATGGGAGGGAGAGGTGGTGAGGGCAGAAGGGAGGGGGAGCAGCAGTAGGCATGGTGGGCACTTTTCCCCTCAGGTAGGCGCTGTCTTGGATGTGAGTGCTGGCGTGCTGGGGGACACACAACCATGAGGTCAATGTGGTGCCTCTTACTGAAGCATCCATTTAGTGTAACACAGTATTTAGGAATGCAAGCTCTAAGGTTGCACTGCTTGGTTCCCATCCTGTATCTACCACTTACAACACTGGAGGACTCTTGGTACTCTCCTGTGTTAAATGGGGTTAATAATTTCACTTACCTCACATGACTGTTGTGAGGATAAAGGAAGACAAATGTATGAAAAGTTCTTAGAACAGTTTCTGATACATTGCACACATGTATTTCCCTATTATGGTTGTCTGCACTTTTTGTGTTTTATATTCTGTTCAGACATGGAGGTACAGGGGCCATGATAGTCAGCCCCGCCTTTGCTTCCTCTAATAAGACAGAATTAAGGCATGAATTTTTCCCTCACTAAGTCACAATCATGCAGATACCAGCATGCCAGTGAAGAAGAAACACTGACTTCCTAAACAGAGAACCTGGGTCACTGAAATTGCACTGGGGCTGTTCTGGTCTTCACTTTTCATTGAGATGTGAAGGCTTGGTTCTAGTACTACAATGTCACTCGTGTAGGAAGCCCAGTTGGGAGTCATATAAGTGAGTTACAGCTTCAGTTCTGCCACAGCAGAGCTGGGTACCCTTGGCCTAATTAGGAGCACAGTGGACAGAAAGAGTGGGATCGGGCAGCCTTCACTGGTAACTACCATAATGCCCTCCAAGTCCTCTAATGTTGCTTTTCCAAACTTTTCCACAATTCTGTTTATGCCTTTGTATTCTCCACTAGACAATATAAATAATGATACTAATAACTTTTAATCAGCACTTATTCTATTTTAGTTATGTTTTTAGTCCTAGTATCTTTTAGATCCCACAGGATCTGGCACATGGTGGGCACCTAATACATGTTCAATAAATGATTAGATACAAGAATAGATGACCTCTGTTTGAATCATGCAGTTGCTTAGTTTGGGGACTTTGAGCAAATTTTTTGGTCTCTCATTTTAGTTTGCCCATTATGCTAGGCACACGTTAGGCACCCAGTGGATTTTGTTTAACTGAAATATCCTGCTTCACCATTGCTTGAGGGAACAAAATAGGTTGTGATATATGATTATTCCCAGATCTTCATCCCTGGCTCCACATTTAGGTATCTACCTCTGTTCAGTCTTTCTGCTTAAATGTGCAGTAGCACCTCAAGACTTATGTTCAGACATGACCTCCGGATGGCTACCTCTTGCAAATCTTCTTTCTGTCTCCTCCATCTCAGCAGGTGGCATTACCATCTACCCAGTTGCTCAAAACAAAAATGTGGAGTCGTAATTCTGTTTCCCTCTCAGCTAACAGCCAATCCATCAGCAAATCCCCTAAGCTCTCTGAGTCTGATTTCTCCTCACCCTCTCCACTACCTCAACCCTTGTCCAGGCTACCCTCATTTCTTACCTAAACTATTGTGGTTATTTCCTAAATAGTCTCTGTGTTTTTACTCTTTTATACTCATCCCTTTTCTACTCTTAAGAATCCTAACTACCTCCAGCTCCTTCCAGGAAAATGACAGGTGGAATGGAATGATGACCTACTCAGCTGGAAGACTGGGGAAAAGAAAAGGCAGGATGTGGTGTGCGTGTTTGTGTGTGCGCGTGCACATGTGTTTGAGGAGCAGAGTCCTGGGGAGGGGGAATTTTAAGAGAATCAACGTCCTATGACAGGGAGCAAGAGAGGGAATCCACAAATGGGAGCAGGCAGCCCTTAAAAAAGGGGCAACCACATAGATAAGACAAAGAAGGCGCCCTGGAGATGAACTTAGCAGGGAGGCATCCATCGTTATATGCTCTGAATGGGCTGGATAGGCTGCTCTGGCAGGAACTACCCTGTCCATTCACCAGGCTCTGAATGTTTAATTGAATAACTAATACTAAGTGTTTTCTGGATATAGGCACTACCATCTCATCCTTTTGATGGATGTTTAGGACATGAAATTAAGATGTCCAATAAAACATTGAATCTCAATAGAGAATGGAGGATAGGTCTAGGTCTGCAGCCTTCTCCCAGGAGCCTCCATGCTTCCTAGACATATTTATCAGCTCTCTTCCCATCAAACCCTGAATTCAGGATGTGGAGGTTGGTTGGCATGTGTTGAACGAAAACTTTGCACTTTATGGGCAATTCTTGCCTCCATCATATGAGGCTTGAACACACAGCTGCCCAAGGAGAGGACTCTGTTGAATATTTATAAAGCCTAAAATAGTATTGTAGATTACGGGATATCCACATACCTGTCAGTGATCTGCTTTGAGATCTTAGAGAAGCCTCATACAATCTCTTTGTGTCCCATTGCTACAAAATGATCATACTGAATTTCTGCAGCTTCACATTGTATTGTTATGCAAAGATTCCAAATATCCTTCCAATTGGAGATAATGTGTCAGCCCTGATCCTCTTACAGTGGAAATAAAATACAAGGCAAAGCGAAATGGGATTCCCAGGCTGCAGACCTCAGCTTAATGTGAATAAACCTCCGGCCAAACAGGAACTTTCAGTTTTCAGAGTGTATTTAATTGAGAGCTATGGTTTATTTTGTTGCTTGAGCTAAATTGGGATCTGTACAAATAAAGAATATGAAAAACCATAGCTGCAGTCTTAGGAGAGCTCTAGTAAGAAAAGAGAGAAATTGTGTTTATAAAACCACAGGGTTGAGCTATTCTTCCTTTTTTTTTGGATTATTCTTCCATTTCTTGGTCTTTTTTGGCCAGAGTGCCAGGGCCAGTGATATTTTGGAGCCATCTGTATGGAGCCAGGAGGCCAGAAGCACACCCTGTCCTCCCTCCTTCCTTGGGATTGTTTTGAGCTCCAAATCAATGTACAAAATTTGTCCAGAGCCATAAGAAAGGCAACTGTTCATCCTTCCTCCTTAGCATGACAGTTGTAGCTGCCCTTTCTTCCCCTTGGTCTCTTGTCAGAACCAGGGAGCTTAAAGTGTAATGCCATTTCAATTTGTGCTTCTGAAGCTTGAACCAGGCTGTGCTGTTTAGGTGAAAGGCTTAAACACCTGAGAATAATCTTAGGTATTAAGTAAAAATAGCTCCCAGCATTTTATGCTTAAAATGGCAACTCTGTGTGTCCAAGGACTGTAGTCTTCTATATTTTCTAGCAAATAGAATTGCTGGGATGCTTGAATCTCAGAATTGGAAGTGATTTGGAGGTTAGCTCGTCTGAATTTGTAGAAGAAAAATGTCAATTGCAGAAAATTTTTCCCCTAGCTAATTTTGTAAACTAGCATTACTTCTCCCCAGCTTTTAGACTCAAAGAAACAAAATCCACAACAAGGAGGTCTCCCTTGTTTGCTCTTTTTCTTTGCTCAAAAATCTCAGTACTATGATAGATGTAGGTAGTGAGGGAAACCTGCCTTCAATCCAGGATGCCTAAATGTCGGGGAAATCTGCTGAACCCATCATGGCCCTGTCATAATAGATTTTTTATGCTCATCAGTTTTTCTGCAGTAGTCAGCCTCGAAGACCAATCGGGATTCCAGAAGATGAGGCTGAATCGTGACAGTCTACCTATAGAGGAGGGAGAGCTCTTTGATATTAATGTGCTGTGGCCCCTGCTCTCCACAGAACCTACTGACAGCCATTCCCAGCAGGGCTCAGGGCTGTTTGGAGGCTGCACACTTTTGTTCTGTAAACAGGGAAGAGGCATGAGCAAACTGCTTACCCGATTCTGAATCCAGCCTCCTTCTCAGGTCATACACCCTACTCAGTCTGTGACCTAATTACCCCTTCATATCTGAGGAGTAGCAGCAAAAGCCTTCCAGGAAGCCAAGGTGAGACAGGAAGAGGAAGCTGACAGGTTGTGGCCAGTTGATCCAGCCCTCTTCTCATTCCTCCTTGCCTCCTTGCTCTTTTCTCTGTCACCAGTGCATCTGAAGACAGTGCAGTGAGAAACTGCTGAGCCAGACATCTTTAAAACATGCCCTTTGTAAGTCATCACCATCTGTAGTCACAGTGAAGGGAGGACATCAAGCAGAAGTGGCTGCCTGCTCTCAGAGCCCAGTCCCCGGAGACTGCAGGCAACGGAGGAAAGATGCTCTCCTGCGTGTCAGCAAGGGCAGGCAAATGGCTGTTGCATTTGTTGAGATGTGGGGCTGATCCCAGCAGCTGTTCAGGCCCTCAGAGTGCTGTTTAGAATGTGCTGGAACTTCCAATCAAGCTGTTCTCTGCTGTGGTTGCTGGTTTTTTAAAAAGCTGGCTGCCTGCTTACCTCATATTTCTATGGCTTTTTAACAATTATGAGGACCCGGCCTGGCGCGGTGGCTCATGCCTGTAATTCCAGCACTTTGGGAGGCCGAGGTGGGTGGACCACCTGAGGTCAGGAATTCGAGACCAGCCTGGCCAACATGGTGAAACCCTGTCTCTACTAAAGCTATGAAAAATTACCCAGGCGTGGTGGTGGGCGCCTGTAATCCCACCTACTTAGGAGGCTGAGGCAGGAGAATCCCCTGAACTGGGGAGGCAGAGGTTGCAGTGAGCAGAGATCGTGCCATTGCACTCCAGCCTGGGCAACAAGAGCAAAACTCCTTCTCAACAACAACAACAACAACCAATTATGAGGACCTTTCAAACACATGCTACATTTCATTCTCGTGGTAGCTCATGTGAGGTATGAACTAGTTAACACATATATGTTCATATATATTGAACATATATATGTTATATGTATGAACATATATATGTTACAACATACATATGTAAACTAGTTCATATATAATGTAGTCTATATATATGTATATAATGTAGTCTTTCTCTATATATAAACTCAGAAAGGATAAATGACATGCCCCAAAGCAAACTCAATAAGTGGCAGAAAGCTCCACTATCCCATGATGTGGCCTCACCTTCCTGTTGAGCCTGATCATTCACAAAGTTCACTGTCCTGGTCACCTTTCTGAAGCATATATCAGTGGTTCTCAAACTTGAGTGTGCATCAGAATCCCCTGGCATGCTTGTTAAAGCATAGATTGCTGGAGTCACCTCCAGACTTTCTAAGGTCTGGGGTGGGCCTGAGAATTTTTATTTCTATCAAAATGCCCTGATACTGATGTTGGTCCATCAGCCACAATTTGAGAATCACTGGTATCTAGAAAATCACCTTTTTGTATTATAAAACCATTGTTAGTTTGCTGATTTTGGAAAACATTTCCATGTATATTAAGCAGTTTAATGTCAATGTAGGCCAGGCAAAGTCATGGGGTATTTAATTTAGAAAACACCTGTGGAGCTTCCATTGCTAAGATCAGTCTTGACCCTTTGCCTGGTATTTTCTTTATGCGGAGTAACTTCCAGCAGGCATCATTCCCTTCAGCAGCCATTTGATTGTCATAGTTTCGGTTCCTCCAGAGGTGGACTTTGAGACAAGGATTCTAGTGCAACAGCTGTTTGGAAAGTTTTGAAGATATTGATAGAACACAAGGCCTTTTCACCCCTGGAGCAAAGCCTGCTTCCTTATTTGTTAGCATATGTGCATAAATTAACTTGCGGAGATATTTGTGAATAAACTCATAAAAGCATACATGAACACACAAATATTTTATCTTATTCTTTTGGCCTCATAAATAGTTGAAAATCCTATACATTATTTTGCAGCTTAGGAAAGGAACGGAATGCACCCCAACTCCCATGAAAAAAAATGTAACATACTTCTTTGGACTTGAAGGTGTGGAGAGCCAAAGGAGTGCAGTGTGGGCAGGTGAAGTAGTGTAGGACACATGGGGTAGATTTATGGGGAACAGAAAAGACTCATGGTCTAGAACAAATACTCAGGGACAAAATGAATAACCCTACTGCAACCTTTAGACTAGAAAAGAGGCCCTTTGGCTTGAGGGACAGAAAGAGAGCTGGAGAAATGATAAGAACACTGATATTGAGAACCCCAGGACCCTTCTACTGGGTTCAGTCCTGGGAAAGTGGCTGAACTGCAGAGAAGAAACGGCAGTGGGTCAGGGACTTTAGCTGCAGGATGGTTCTTGCGTGCCTAGAAAGGCAGGGAAGCAGTGGAGATAGGCCCTGAGTCTGAAGAACACGATGACAGGGTCTGTCTCAATGACCCACGGCCAACTCACATGAACCAAAAATCTAGGGCTGGACAGGGTGGCAGACAGCTTACATGGATAGATGACTTTGAGGACCTGGGTTTCTGCTCCTGTTGCTGCTTTGGCACTACATAAGTCTCTTGGAAATAATGCCATCTTAAGCTGCAACTGAGTCATTCATACAAAAGGTAAAGAAAGTTATATTCACTTGACAGTTGAGTTTGTGGCTAGAGATTGAAGCTTGAGATGCAGGTAAGTTATGCTATGAAGTTTGAGGGCCACATAGAAGTGTGCCTTGGTCCATTGGTGACCCACAGGAGATAGTGACGGGTTCTCAGAGAAGGTCACCTTCCTGGAGGGGTTAGGCTTGAGTTAGGGTATAATAGATAAATATATATTCAATATATCTTATAGATAAACTTGTTAATGACATTTCCATTTTTAAACATGATTTTGCCAAATGCAGTTTTGCCAATTACAATATTTTCCGGGACCATAAGCCAGTGCCTAGTGAAAAATTACTAGAGATTCATTTCATATGTAACACCATTCCTCTCTTTCTAACAATTTTATGCATCATTGAGGCCAAGATCAAGTTCTTTTTCTCTAAAACTTAGCTGGCAGGCCAAGCCCATGCTATTCTTTTTCTCCCCCTTGTCTGTTTGGAAAGATTGTCAGTTCTGCACATTTTAACACTTTCGATCATGCATTATGTAGTCTTGTTCTCTCATCAATTCATTTGAGTTATCCTTGTCTTCCTGGATGGATTGTACCTCTGTGGAGGTTTCACTGAGTAGACATTCTCAAAGGTCAGGAACAGTCAAGGTTCCACTTAAAAGAAAAAAAAAATGTTTCTCTAATTCTTACTAAGATCTTGTGTGTATTGAAGCTGCTCTAAGTGCTATGCAGCTATTATTGTAGCCCCGTATAGTAGGTGCTATTATCATCCCTGTTTTACAGATGAACTCACTTAGATTGAGTCAAGAACCCACTGAAGACAATCATCAGAGCTGAGAAAATTAACTAAGAAAAAGATGCACGTGGCTGTAATTAGAAGAAAAACAGTTTGCCTGCTCTCATTTGGCTGAGCATTTTAAAAAACCTTTTCAATAAGTAAGTATTGAATGTTAACATGAGAACCTCTGCGTAGGTTGGCGATCATTTCTTCTATATAGGTTATGCTGAAGTTAATGGTCTAGTAACCATTTGATGGCTGGACCTTGCCATTCTCAATAGATCACTTTGCACAAGACCCCAGCAGGTGGTGCTATAACTGGCAAGCGGCTTCAGGCATGCCCCATTGCTCTCAGAGTGAATTTTCCCACGTCCTTGGGAGCCTGGGGTGGTGGGGTGGGGGTGGGGTGTTCCTTGCAGAGAAGGCTCTTACTCCTGTCTGTGTAAGTGCATGTTACCTACACAGGCCCTCCTCTGGCCCATCTCTGTGCTGCTGTGTTTGAATTGCTTCCCATTCATCCCACGGGGGAACAATCCTAGGGTTATAGGGATAGTCAAACACATGACAAACAGCCCAGCACTGGACAGATGAGGTTGAGACTAGTTTATTTATCACACACACTCATGGCCTGGGGAGAAAGACACTGTGCCACACAGGGCCACAACGGAGTTGAACTTGGGAACAGAGGCTGTGGGAGGCAGGCTCTGTGGTATCAAGAGGATAGGGGGACTCCTGCTTCCCACAGGGGAAGTGGTTAGTTTGTCTGAAATGTTTTATGGGCTGGGAGGGAACTAAGACTACCCACGCAGGGATAAGGAGGAGCTGCACCTGGTCCATTTGGTGATAAGGGTCTTTTGGCAAGGGATTCTTTTTTTTTGTTGTTTGTTTTTTGTTTTTTTGTTTTCTGAGATGGAATCTTGCTCTGTTGCCCAGGCTGGAGTACAGTGGTGTGATCTTGACTCACTGCAAACTCCGCCTCACAGGTTCAAGTGATTCTCCTGCCTCAGCCCCCTGAGTAGCTGGGATTATAGGTGCACACCACCACGCTTGGCTAATTTTTGTATTTTTAGTAGGAGACGGGGTTTTGCCATGTTGGCCAGGCTGGTCTCGAACTCCTGACCTCGTGATTGCCTGTCTCGGCCTCCCAAAGTGCTGGGATTACAGGCGTAAGCCACTGTGCCCGGCCAAGGGATTCTTATCCATGGTGTGAAGGAAGAGGAGAACTTGTGGTTAGGACATTCCAGGCCCTCCCAGTTTTGCCATGTATCAAGGCAGCAATTAATATTGAATCTTATTGTTAGGCCTTAAACCCCATGCTGTTGTGTGGCCCCACATGAACGTTCTTGCTTTATGTCTATATTTTTGCTCTAATTTTTTTTTTTTTGGTAGAGATGGGGACTTGCTATGTTGCTCAGGCTGGCCTTGAATTCATGGCATCAAGGGATCCTCCTGCTTTGGCCACCTAAAGTGCTGGGATTTTTAGGTGTGAGCCACCATGCCTGGCCTAAATTTTTTTTTTTTTTGAGTTGGGGTCTTCCTGTGTTTCCCAGACTGGTCTCAAACTCATGGGCTCAAGCAATCCTCGTACTTCAGTCCCCCAAGTAGCTGAGATAACAGGTGTAGGCCACTATGTGTGGCTATTATTATTATTATTATTATTTTTTTTTTTTGAGACGGAGTCTTGCTCTGTCACCCAGGCTGGAGTGCAATGGCGTGATCTCGGCTCACTGCAACCTCTGCTTCCTGGGTCCAGGCGATTCTCCTGCCTCAGCCTCCCGAGTAGCTGGGATTACAGGCACCTGCGTCATGCCCGGGTAATTTTTGTATTTCTGTAGAGAGGGGGTTTCACCATGTTGGCCAGGCTGGTCTTGAACTCCTGACCTCAGGTGATCTGCCTGCCTTGGCCTCCCAAAGTGTTGGGATTACAGGCATGAGCCACCACGTTGGGCCTATTTTTATTATTTTTTTAAGGGATAGGGTTTGCCGTGTTGCTCAGGCTGGCATGCAGTGGCTATTCACAGGCACGATTACAGCACGCTATAGCCTCAGACTCCTGGGCTCAAGCCATCCTTCTGCTTCAGCCCTCTGAGCTCTTCAGCTAAGAACATAGATTTCTGGCTCTTCCGATTCTTGCCTGAGACTTACTTTAGAATAGTTTTTCGGTTTCTTTCAAATTGAAAGAAGAGATCACTGGCACTTGGGAGGGGAAAAACTGGAGGATGTGTTCATTATTCAGTCCTCAAACCTCCCCAGGATTCATGTTGTATTTCTGAAACTAGACCACTAGGAAGCTCCAGACCTGCTTTGATCAGATGACCCTGAATAGTTAGGGTTCTTTCAGTTCCATGGAAAAGGAATCGACAAGATCTTCTTTAAGCATAAAAGGGGAGATTTGTTAAAAGCACACAGATTGGTCTAGGAGGGCACAGGACAGAGAGACGGCCAGCCCTCAGGAATGAATGGGAACTAGAAGCAGAGTTGCCCACAGTGTTTGCAGACCTTGTCCACCTTCCTCACCCCTGAAGGCCACCTCATTCCTCTTTCTTTGTGGTCAGGCCTTGTCTGCCACCAGGTCACATGGTAGAAACCGTGGTAAGCCCTCAACATAGCACTTGGATTTTCATTTCCTCTTTTCAATGGATTGGACCAGACTGAATGTTCTCAGTTCCAAATTGAAATTTCCTGAAGAAAGATGTCCGACTTGCTTATCTTGAGTCACTCCTGGACCAATGATCTGGAACCAGGGTGTATTAATCAGGGTTCTCCAGAGAAACAGAACCAATAGATATGATTATGGGGGCTGAGAAGTCCCATGATCTACTGTTTGCAAGCTGGGCACACAGAAAAGCTGGTGGTGTAATTTTAGTCTGAGTCTGAAGGCCTGAGAACCAGGAGCATTGATGGTGTGAAGTTCAGTCCAGAAGCAGAGGAAACCAATGTTCCAGCTCAACCAGTCAGGCAGAGAGAGAGAGAATTCCTTCTTTCCTTCCTTCCTCCCTCCCTCCCTTCTTTCTTTCCTTCCTTCCTTCTTTCCTTCCTTCCATTCCTTCCTCCTTCTTCCCTCCCTTTCTCTCTCTCTCTTCCTTCCTTCCTCCTTCTTCCCTCCCTTTCTCTCTCTCTTCCTTCCTTCCTTCCTCTTTCTTCCCTCCTTTTCTTCCCTCCTTTTCTTTCTTTCTTCCTTCCTTTCTTTTTCTTTCTTTCTTTCTTTTCTTTCTTTCTTTCTTTTCTTTCTTTCTTTCTTTCTTTCTTTCTTTCTTTCTTTCTTTCTGTCTTTCTGTCTTTCTCTCTCTCTTTCTCTCTTCTTTCCTTTTCTCTCTCTCTCTCTCTCTCCTTTCTGTTCTATTCAGGTCTTTAATTGGTTGGAAAGGCTCATCCTTTCCAACTAGGGAGGGCCATCTACTTTACTCAGTCTACCAATTCAAATGCTAATCTTATCCAGAAACACCCTCACAGACAGACACATTCAAAAATTATGTTTAACCAGCAGTTTTGTGGACACCCGATGATCCAGTTAAGTTGACAAATAAATTAACCATCACACAGGTAGTCTGGATCACCATAGACAAAATAAAGTCAGGAGCCTTGGCTATGTCCATGTGAATTGGGTGGGTGGTAGAGGGGGAGGTTTTATAGGAAGAGCTAGGTTGTCATGGCATTGGTGGCATGGTCTCCAATGCCATATATTGCATGGCGCTTCTCTAAAATAATAACATTTCGATTGAAGATATCATTCATTATGTTATTCCACAATCTGCACGGAGTGAGGTACATATGGGTTTGAATTTTGTCTTGCAACTATCTTGAATTAGGCAAGTTACTTAACCTCTATCAACTTCAGCTTCTCATTAATGAAATGGGGATAATATGTAGGATTGTCGTAGGAATTAAATAACATACTATTTGGAAAGTACTTGCACTTAGAATAGAAGACACTCAATGGACAGTAACTATTATCATCATTCATCACTAATTTAATGCTAATTATTATTATTTCATGCAGCATGTTCTCAGACCAACATTGACAAAGGCCATTCAAATAAATTGATACTTTCCTTTTGACTGATGGTGACAACAAGATTGCAAGCCAATAGGTGCTCCAACAGGCATGACCCTCATCTCTGAAAAACATAAAATACACAATTATGTTTTCATGCTAATGAGGACTGAGAAGTAGTAATCTTTAATTTTTTCTTTTTTTGTGTGGTGACATCTATTAACCTCCATCTAGCATTCTGTGGTGGGAAGATCCCACAGTGACACTTCAATCTGTGAGTTAGATGTGAACCTGTGGGCAAACTGAAGCTTGTCACTTCCGTCAAATACATATAACTGAGAGAGAAGTACCAATTTAAGTTTGGGTATGCTTTCAGCTTTTTACATACAAAAAAATTCTTTAAGGAGGATGTAGAGCTAGAACAAAGAAAAAAATTATGTTGCAATTTGGGGTTCAGTACTGTATTGAAAGAGAACACGAGAAGAAAAGGGGAGTATTTTATAATTTATTAAGATATAGTTCTCAGCATCCTATTTCTCTTTAACCTAAAGTTTCCCATGAGGAAACACACCCATGGAATGCGTATTTTTGCTTATTTCAAAGCCTAGAGAAAGTCTGCTTTTCCTAAACCATCACATGTATGTCTTTAGCCAGCCTGTTGGGAAGCTATCCATTTTTACTTAGTGGCAGTTTTCCTTAACTACCATTGTTGTCTTCTATCTTAAGTCAAGGTCTTATTATACTTCTTTTAAGCTTATTTGTTTTAAATTCATTATCTCTCTCCCTCTCTCTATACATGTAACACATATTATATATATTATAGCATAATATCCTTCAGGTTCATCGCTGTTGTCACAAAGGGCAGGGTTTTCTTCTCTTTAAAGGCTGAATAGTATTCCATTGTGTATGCATACCACATATATACCACATTTTCTTCATTCATTCATCTGTTGCTGGACACTTACATTGATTCCACATCTTGGCTTTTATGTATAATGGTGCAATGAACATTGGAATGCTGATATGTCTCTGAGTATCTGGGGTTCTCAGACCTTTTCTAAGGCTGTGTCCAACTCCACTCCTCTTGCCCCCTCCTAGCGGGTAAGTCTTAGAATTTGATCCTCCAAAGCCAGGCCAGGTGCTGAGAGCCTCCTGTTTATTTTCCCTAGGGCAGTGTCCTGAAGAGTTCAGTGTTGTGCAGCATCTCCCATAGCAGCAGAGTCAAGCTGGCTTCTACACTCCTCCCCTGCTATTGAGATCCTCATGCTATCTGTGGGAGCTTGTGCACTCCATGCACAGGGATGTGCCATCCATGGTGGGAGCATGTCAGGTTTTGGGAGTGCACATTGGCTGGTGGGGGAGCTCTGTAAGCAGTTTATTCTGCAGGGTTTGTGGGCAAGACTCCTTCCGGAGTCAGTAAGCTGGTCAGCAGGATCCTTGGCTGGTTGTTGAGAACTGCAAGCCAACTGCTGTCTGCTGCCACCCCTGCTCCTAGCTGGCTCCAGATGATTCACCAGTGCTTATCCCTTCATTGTTCTGAGTGAAGCAAGACAGAAGTGGTCCTTCTGGACTGTGTCCCATAAAACTGGGGAGTCCTGCATTCCTTTTACTTTGACTTTTCCTCATGAGAGAGAGCACAGGCCCAGGGGACCTATCTCAGCATAGGTCTATGCTGCCTTGGGGAAAGGGTAAAGTAGATAAAGAGAGACTGTTTTTCTTACCCTCTTTAATTCATCCACTCTAGGAATTTTTTTTCTCCACCAGGTGCTAGAACCTCTCAGTTAGACTCTAGGGCTCCTGCCCTTTTGGGTTATCTATGGATGATTACCAAAATGGGTGTTTCTTGGTGGAGGGGATGAGAGCTGGCATCTCCTATTCTGCCATCTTGTTGGACTCGTTTTTGCTGAGTTGGACTTTTGGGCTGTGTTTGGGAACTGATGACATGGGTTGTTGATGAGATTGAATGTAGGGGAACAGGGGAGAGGTAAAGTAGGTGGGAAAAACTTGAGCAAAAACTTGAGCAAAGAAAAGAAATATCTCATAGGGATTTAAAAATTGTGCTTTTTCTTTAGTGTGTGATTCAATATTTCCTCAGTCTCCCCAAGAAATCTTTGGTAAAATTCAACACTAAGTACTAATGCACGTGGAGGTGGATGTGCTCCTGGGCCAGGGACAAAGCCCTGATTATTGCCTCAGGAGTGAAGGCTGGGTTCTCTGTGGGAGGCTCACTACCTCTGGATGACCTCAGGAGTCAAGGTCCATCTTTCTCCAGGCAGTCCCCTCGGGTAGCCCTAGAGAGAGAGAGATGATGATCCTCTTCTGAGTTTTGAAAGCACTGAACTCATCAGAAGGCAGTGCTCTAAGCCTGTGGTCTGAAATGATGAATTCATGTATCTGGCTCACCCACTAGACTACAAGTTACTTGAGGGCAGGATCTGGGCTTTCTTGCTCCTGTATCCCCAGTTTTGACCAGTGATAGGCCTGGAAGAGGTGCCTGGTAAATGGTTGAAATTATCTGTCTGGTCCAGTTCTACAAATAGCATCTTCAGTATATTTGCTATTAGTATTGGCGTAATATATTAACATAATCCTGATGTAGAACATTTAAGGGAACCATACTAGGCAGCTCTGAGATCTTCCTGGCCAAGCTATCTAGGGCCATAATGCTATTGGCTAAGACTTTCCATAGTTTGACATTTTGCTTATGGGTCTAATAACAATGTTCACCTCTTTTTGTGGGAGCTGGAAAGCTATATTTTTCTTGGCTGCTGACCTGCTTATCCCATTTGGGAACTTGGGATCCAATTAGGCCTGAGGATGTGCAGACGAAGGAGTGAGGTTATAACCAGGTCAGCCTTTCTCTTGAAATAGTCATGGAAAAAAACTCCTAAGCAAAAAAGCTGTGAAAAAGGTTTTAAGACACAATAGGAATAAGCTAAGGAGAGAAATGAATCTTTAGCTATAAGTAGAGGGGTAAAAAGGGCAAAACCGGGTGTTTGTTCAGTAGAATGATACTTGTCACCCGATTGAGAGAGGTAGGGCTTAAGGGTGTGTGTGTGTGTGTGTGTGTATGTGTGGCCACTGACTTGGCCTTTCTGGCCTTCTTCTCAGTAAAATCGGGATAAAACTTTTTTTAGGGTGAGATTTCCGAGGGTGCTATAGTTGGTTTTTGCTCAAGCATACAAGATAGCTTCTTACTTGGCTGATTTGAGGATTCCCTGATGCTGTAATTTCTCTATCACTGTTCAGTACATAAAATGACCGTAGGAGGGTGAAAGTGTAGTGCAGTAGTTAGAATCCCGGGCTTTGGAATCAGACAGAGAGATTCGTGATGTGATATTTGGGTAGACAGTTGCCTTCTACTTAAAGAGCAAAATTCTTCTTAATTAACTTATATCACATTAGACATTTATGTCAAGTGGGCACTTCATGGAGTTTGAATCAGGACAAATATTAATAATAGGTCTATCTTCCAGGCTCACGTCTCAGTTCTGTGACCTTGGGTAAGTTACTTAGCCTCTGTGAAACCTGGTGATATGGCTTGGACGTTTGTCCCCTCCAAATCTCATGTTGAAAGGTGATACCCAATGTTGGAGATGGGGCCTGGTGGGAGGTGTTTGGGTTACTGAGGTGGACCCCTCATGAACGGCTTGGTGTTCTCCCCATGGTAATGAGTGGGTTCTCGCTCTGTGAGTTCATGTGAGAGCTGGTTGTTTAAAAGACCCTGGCATCTCTCTTGCTTCCACTCTCACCATGTGATACACAGGCTCCCATTTTGCCTTCTGCCATGATTGTAAGTTTCCTGAGGCCTCACCAGAAGCAGATGTCAGTGCTATGCTTTCTGTACTGCCTGCAGAATCATGAGCCACTTAAATCTCTTTTCTTCATAGATTATCCATTCTCAGGTATTCCTTTATGGCAACTCAAATGAACTAACACACCCTATTTCCCAACCTGTAAAATGGGAGACATGGTTCCCTTTGTAGGGTTATTGTGGGATCAACTGAACAAAGGTGTGAAGCATAGAAAGTCCTGAGTAAGAAGCGGTGATGATGGTGGTGGAGGGGGGTGATGGCCATTGTGACAGAGGCAGATGTTTGCTACCCATTCTCTTTATTTTGTCTATTCCCTTAGGAAAACAGTTCCAGTGTAAGAGAGGGTGACAGTGTGCTCAGTGTAGACAACACTTTCCAGGCTCCCTTGTAGCTAGGTGTGAGCATGTGAATATTTCTGACCATAATGTGAGTTGAAGTTGATGGGTAGAAAATTTAGAAAGGCTTCTTAAAGGAGGAGAGCCCATTTGTCCTTCCCTGATTTCTTCTCCCTGTTGCCTGGCATTCTGAGGTGAAGGCAAGTGCTCCAGCAGGCCATTTGGACCAGGAGATGACTTTGTGAATGAGCCACACTCTGAGAGTGACAGAACAGGAAGATAAAAAAAGGCTGGGCCTATCATCCATATTGGAGCACTTTTACCAGAGCTTTAAGTTAAGTCACAGTTTTTTCTTTTCTTCATTTTATGGGTAGCCAAACTTTGTTCTAATTGGCAGTGATAATGAGGATGATTTCTTTTTGGCTTTCAAGAGACTTGTATTAATTTAGGGGGATTTTCCAAGGATTGCCTCTTGGTTTGTTGATTTCCAACTGGGTAGTCAGCTAGAGAAAGGTTCTGAGGGAACTAGATGTAAGGCAAATCCTTGGGAGGGCAGAAGGGGATGTTGGGATGAAGAATGTGGATCAGAAAAGGGAGTTTGGGAAAACAGATTGCCAGCCCTGTACTTACCAGTTGTGTCACCCTGGGCAAGGCCAATATCACCCTCCCCAAGGGCTGCAGCAGGAATTAAATGAGAACATATTACATGACCTGGCTCATAGGAATTACTTTAAAACCTTTATTTCCTTCTAGTGATTTACTAATATAGTCCTGGAAAGGACCTGTTCCTTGGGCATCAAAAAATATATATCCCTGTTTTGCCTAGATATGCAGTTTGACAAGCAGAGGGACTGCTGTTTCTTCGTGGGAATTGCTTACTCACCTCGCACTCTGACCTCTCTTCCTGTTTGTGGCTCCTGACAGGCCTGGACCTGCCTGAGCTTGCCAGGTTCTGTGGGAGGTGGGAAGAGAGGGGTGGATACCAGGCTTCAACTTTCATTCCAGTGCACCCTGGCGTGCCTCAGCCCATCACAGAGCGGATGGCTTTTCTATTCCCTTGGGATGTTATGCTAAACACAATTACATACAGCATTTGACAACAGAGCTGGTAATTTATGTGCTGCTGGAATGGAGAAGGAGGAGGGTAATTGGGATGAATATCAATGTAATCTGAGAAGACACTGAATTTTCTCATCCCTTTCAGGAATCAGTGGCTGGCTATGGAAGGGAGAATGTTAATTGGTCACTTGGTGGATTGATTTAAAACCCGTCTGCCTTTAGCGGGGATGCATTATCCATTATTCCTCTCAGGATGGTCTGGTTTGGGGGAGGTGGTGTGTTTGCTGGGGGAGTGGGCAGAAATCAGTATCAGATTGTCAACTTGCAAATATTTGGTGAAATTGCTGACCTACTACTTGTGAGATCTCGAGACTTATTACACCTCTATGAATCTCGACTTTGTTATTAGTAAATGAGAGGTAATAACACTGTCTCACGACGCTCTTCTGAGGGTTACATCAGATAAATTATACAGAGCCTCCTGCCAAAAGGTGCTCCCAGTGGTAGGTGGTCAAAATTCATTTGCTTCCTCCCGTATAGTTGAAGGACACACTTCATTCCTATCAGCCTTTGTGAAAATGTATCTTCTGACAGTTTCAATGGTGACAGAAGGGGTTCCTTCCACTATATGATTAAAGAAGGCTGCTGCACTGTTTGGCTTCACCACAAGTGAGCTTCATTTTGGAGAACAGGTGTGAGTGTGTGAGTGTGTTTGTGTGTGTGAATTCAGACATCTTACAGTTCCTGTTTTTTTCTCACCAGTAATTTAAAAATAACATTGCATGCCATTATTTCTTCAGTGCAGTCTCTTCTTTTTCTTCCTGAGAGTGATACTATGAGATCCAGGTCATCTTCCCACAGTTCCCAAGCAGGGTCTTTCCCTCCTTGGATTACCTTCAAGGCAGTCTGAAAAAAAAAAAAATCCAAATCTCAGCTCTTAGAAGAGTAAGAAATAGGAATCTCAGGTTTTTCTTTTTTCTTCTCCCCCACCGTACGATATCTCCAGGCTTCATAGAGACAGATCTGGGCTCTGGGCTGTTGTTTCTGTTTGGGTTCCATGAATGGCCTTTCTTTATGGGTGGCAGATAAACACCAGCCCAGAAAAGAAATTCATCTTTGGAGAAAATCCCTCAAATAGGACCTTCCCTTACTTTCTCTCTCTCTCTCTCTCTCTTTTCTTTTTAGATGGAGTTTCATTCTTGTCACCCAGGCTGAAGTGCAGTGGCGTGATCTTGGCTCACTGCAACTTCCGCCTCCTGGATTCAAGCGATTCTCCTGCCTTAGCCTCCTCAGTAGCTGGGATTACAGATGCCCACCACCATGCCTGGCTAATTTTTGTGTTTTTAGTAGAGACAGAGTTTCACCATGTTGGCCAGGCTGGTCTCGAACTTCTGACATCAGGTGATCCACCTGCCTCGGCCTCCCAAAGTGCTGGGATTACAGGCATGAGCCACCACACCCAGCCTTTGTTTCTTATCTGATTCTCAGGCCATGGAGCCTGTCACTGCTTTGTGGGCTTGGGTTTGGGTTTACCCTTTGCTCTCCTATCTCTCCTTAGTCTTCTTTAGCTCTTCACTTTGCTTTCCAGCTGATTTCTTCCTGCAGCCTGAGGTTTAGGTATTGTCAGCTCTGTCTTGGTGAAACAACAGTTGTCCTCTGACCTCCAAGAGGGGTGAGGAATTTGGGCTGATCCAGCCCTGCTGAAGGCTCAGAAGACCCTTATTCCATGGAGTGATTGAAGATGTCTTGTCTAAACCTCCAGCCCCGGGCCCAGCCTTCAGGAGGCAGAGGCTGCGGATGGGAAGTGATGGTCTGGCTCACTTTTTCTTTTGAGACATAGGCCATTTAGGATGTAGTCTTTTAACCTGGGCAAAGTCAATGCTCACTTATGTTTCTTTTCATGGCTGCTTTGCTACAGTAACCGCATAGTGGGTGCTTAGTTTGTTTGTGGCAAAAAAGTAGAATTGAAATCTCTATGCTCAAGTCCAGTGGCTCCAATCTGTGCTTTATTATTGGAAATGGAGCCTCCTCCTGCTCTGGGGTTCCTGAGTTAAAGCCAAGGCACTTGCACCAGCGGCACTGCTGGCTGGCTGGGATTGCTCAAATTTGTTCTGGCTCACCTGGTGTGGCTCTTAGGTTCCTGTCCATGTTAATGATGTTCTATACAGTCCCTGGAGTCAGGTGTTTGCCTACTTGTCTGAATGGGTGATGTCCTCTGGCAAACCCATCAAGGGAGCTTTCTTCATTGCTCTACCTCACAGTTGATCTCTTTGCTCCAGACTTTGTGCCTTTTGGCTCCCATTCTTCCCAGTTCCTCCTCATCTCACTTCTGTCATTTTTCCAGGCTTAGCCTGGATACTGTTCCATAGTGCCCTGTCAGGGTTTCTCCACATGGCAATAGGACTCAAGAAGCCTTGTGGGTTTGGGGCTTCAGTGCCTCCCCTTGCCTGCCTCGTCATCCTCGCTTTATAGAATGTTTAATTTCTATAAAGTGTATGGGAGTTCTTGGTGAAGGCTGGGTGAATAGATCTGTCCTGAATGTAGGAGAATCTTTAGGAAATTATAGGAGTTTTCCAAAGACAGAGTTGGAGATTACATAATTGCAACCTGCATCTCTTATGCTATGCTGCATTTACTTCAGTCAACCATGATCTAATCAATCAACCGGCTCACCAATCAATTAGATAACAGAGATTTATTGAGTTTCTGCTGTGTGCTCAGCCATGTGTTTAGGTCCCTGAGGAACACAGAATAAGGAAAAAGCATGGGATGTGCTTCGAACCATTTACAATCCAGTTCAGGAGAAACAGTGAGCTTTCGTGTCTCTACAGTAAACCCCACCAGGCAGTTGCTAACTGACTGCTGCATTGTGTGTGTGTATGGAGAGAGATGGGGGACAGGCACACCTGCCATGGAGAGGTAGTGTGGTGACGTGAAGCCAGCCTGGGTTTCAGAATGGGAGGAACCAAGTTTGAGTCCCAGTTCCCCCTCTTATAGTTGTAGGGCTTTGAATCCCGAATCACTAGCAGAAAACATTTATTGAGGACTTTCTGTGCACATCACCCAGCTGCAAGTGGGATTGCAGTGGAAGGCAAGCAGGTCAGCCACCTTCAAGATACAGTCTTAACAGAGATGATGAGACAAGACAGCAGATGACAACATCCTCCTTCTGTGTTGGCCCCAGAATGGATGAAGGGGAGCCTATGACTGTGAATGTATGTCCCCCAAGACTGATACAGAGAAGGGATTTATGGCACTTTGGTGTGGGGTTTGAATGAAAGACTATCCCATTTATGGAGCTCCTGCCATATTTCAGGAAGCAAGCAAATGACTGCATGTGAGCTCCTACTCCATGTTAGCTTCTGAAAATCCATCACCTGGATAATATTCTTCACAATCCGGTGTGGTTATGCATTTTTTTTAGATCAGAAAATTGAGGTTCAAAGAAAGAAAATAAATTGCCCAACATCAAATCTAATAAATTGGTGAAGTTGGGATTCCAACTCACACTGCTCAGACACCATCACTAATTTTGCATGGTTTACCTTGTCTTCACATCATTTCCCCATTTGCAGATTAGGCCATCAAGACACAGCGAGGTTAAGATTTTAAATGATCCTATTCAGAGCTGGGATCCAAACTTGATCTGTCTGATTCTAAAGCCTGAGACTGTGATAAACATAGACATATGTGTGCAGGCATACAGTGTAATAAAAGAAGGCCTGAGGCCGTTCCTGTACACAAGCTTGAGAAGTTGTGGGGAGAATTAGAATGTGAAAGAAATGGTTGCCATGGATGAGAAATCCAGCCTAGCAGTTTAAATGGAAGGGACCTCCCATTATACAAAACAGCCCTAAATTAGTTTAAACTAGTGCTTCTAAAATCTGCCTACCAATCACCAGGGGATCCTGTACAGATGCAGATTGTGACCCAGTAGGTCTGGGGTAGAGTCTGAGGTTCTGTATTTCTATTTTTCTCTCTCTCTTTCATATGTATATATGTATATATCTCATAAACATATATCATATATATATCTGAGAGAGAGAGAGAGAGAGAGACAGACAGACAGACAGAGTCTTGCTCTGTTGCCCAGGGTGGAAGATCTTGGCTCACTGCAACCTCCGCCCCCTGGGTTCAAGCAATTCTCGTGCCTCAGCCTCCCGAGTAGCTGAAACTACAGGCACCTGCCACCAGGCCAAGCTAATGTTTGTATTTATTGTAGAGATGGTGTTTCACCACGTTGCCCAGGCTGGTCTCAAACTCCTGGCCTTAAGTGATCCACCTGCCTCAGCCTCCCAAAGTGCTGGGGTTATAGGTGTGAGCCACCGCGCCTGGCCAGAGGTTCTGTATTTCTAACAAGCTGCTGGTCCATGAACCACACTTTGAGTTGCAAGCGTCTAAACTAGGTTTCTCACCCTGGACTCTATTGACATTTTGGGCCAGATAATTCTTTCTTATGTGGTTGTTTAGCAGCATTCCTGGCCTTTTCCCACTAGATGTCAGCAGCACCACCCCCCATTTGTGATGACCAAAAATGTCTCCTGACATTGCAAAATGTCCTTTAAGGGGTACAGCCTTTGCCA
This sequence comes from Homo sapiens, assembly GCF_000001405.40. Classification (NCBI taxonomy): domain Eukaryota; kingdom Metazoa; phylum Chordata; class Mammalia; order Primates; family Hominidae; genus Homo; species Homo sapiens. The sequence goes on along the minus strand of NC_000010.11, from coordinate 83,979,116 downwards.
GGAAAGAACCACGTGTCTAAACCAGTGGTTCCCAAAGCTTGTCTGTACATTGGAATCATCTGGGAAGCTTAGAAACTCCTGGCGCTTGTGTCCTGCCTAACAGATTGCAGTTTACTTAACCTGAAATATGGCTGGGTCAATTTCAAATGTTTACATGCCTTCCCAGGTGATTCTAATGTGCAGACAAATTTGGCAACCCCTGGTCTAAGTTCAAACTCTGGACCAATCAGCTTATTCTCTTTTTGCTTCCAAGAAGCTGCCACACCTAATACTCAGAACTGCCCCTGGCTGATCAGGCACCTGGGATAGGAAGAAAGGTTTCCAGGCTTCACTCATCACACAGAAAACCCAGCTCAGAGTTGGCTTAAATCCCCCAGTAAGGAAGAGCAGAAAGAAATCACACAGATCTGGGATGGAGGTAGCCCTCATCCATCATGCTGTCTGGGGCTGCTTTGCATACAGGAACACTATTTGTTTTAATCTTCAAGAATCCCATTTTGAGCTGGTGATCTCCCATAGGTTTTATAAAGGCCTGTGCCATGTTTTGGCTCCCTTCCCTCCCTTTCCCAGACTCTTGATAGAATCAATCTTTATTCCTCTCATACCTAGAGGCCAGGATAATAGTCTAATGCTTGTCTGAAGTTTGGACTGAGCAGGTGCTTGGAGGTAGAGATTCTTTGCTAGGTAGGATGTCACTCAGTGGACCATCAAAGAATATCTATTTTTAGTTTTCTTCTCAGCTGAGCATGTGCATGTTTATGTGCACTTGTATGTGCTGTAGAAATTGTCTTGCTAAGGTTATTCCCATCTAAAGCCAAGTATATTTTGCTGTCTGCTAAGCCGTGCTGTGAATGTGGACAAAACAAACCCACACTCAGGTTCTCAGTTAGGAATTGCTGATTAAGGACTCAACCCTTGTCATATGAGCTTCTGCTTCTAGGGAAATTAACAGAAGAAGAATAGACTCTTAGGGCCATTATCCCCACTACCTATTGCCTGACATCTACTTCTGCTTTCTCTCCCTTGGTAGTACAAGAGAGAAGAGACTGAATTGTGATAGCTGGAACCATGGATGAGAGAACAGCACACACCCATCAGAAAATGTGCCTGGAGCACCTCCTGGGTGGCAGCCTGTTGCAGCAGCACTCATGAGTCTGGGCACATACATTCTGGGATAGGTGTCCAGGTATATTCTGCTATCAATATTGCTAGAAAGTTACCAAAACACCCTGAGCCTCAATTTCTTTATTGGTAAGTGGAAAGAATAATAACACCTATAGGCTTGTCATAAAGGTTATAGAAGAATAAAATGTAATGTTTACTGAGCACTATTTATTATGGTTAATACTGAGGGTCAACTTGATTGGATTGAAGGATACAAAGTATTGATCCTTGGTATGTCTGTGAGGGTGTTGTCAAAGGCGATTAATATTTGAGTCAGTGGGCTAGGAAAGGCAGACCCACCCTTAATCTGGGTGGGCACAATCTAATCAGCTGCTGGTGCAGCTAGAATATAGGCAGGCAGAAAAGTGTGAAAAGAGAGACTGGCCTAGCCTCCCAGACTACATCTTTCTCCTGTGCTGGATGCTTCCTGCTCTTGAATATCGGACTCCAAGTTCTTCAGTTTTGGAACTCAGACTGGCTCTCCTTGCTCCTCAGCCTGCCGACAGCCTATTGTGGGACCTTGTGATTGTGTGAGTTAATACTTAATAACCCCTCCTTTATCTATCTATATCTATATCTATATCTATATCTATATCTATATCTATATCTATATCTATATCTATATCTATATCTATATATCTATATCCATTACATTAGTTCTGTCCCTCTAGAGAACCCTGACTAATACAGATTTTGGTAACAGGAGTGGTTCTAAAGGAACAGAATATTAAGGATGGAGTTATTTCATTGGTTTTGGGATTTCTGGAGTTGGCTGCTTCAAATGATTACACCCCAAAATGCTAAGGACTCTACTTCTAATAGTATGGAGGACACTGAGAGTTCTTGGAGTGAACTGTGTAGAGAGTTATGCAAAATAAACGCATTTGATGCTCCTGATTTGTCGCTCTTGAGAGGCAAGGAGTTTAGTGACCCTATACATAATACCTTTGACTATATCTGGAGAGTCAAGGAACATAATTAAGCTGGTTGGTTGCTCCTAAGTTCAGTGGACAAAGTGATGAAAAAAATGATAAACTCAGGGATTCTATCTGCTAGCTTCAGAAGCAGATACTGAGCCTCAAATCTGCTGGGATTGCCCTGAGTGAGAGTTTTATCTCCTGTGGAGAAAGAGCTGAAATTGTGGAAAAACAGGCACAAGCTCTTATGTGAATGGCTGACCTGCAACGAAAGATGCATGCACAACCTCACCAGGTGTCTACTGTTAAAGTGAGGGTATTGATTAGAAAAAAATGGGAGCCTGCAACTTGGAATGGGGATATGTGGGAGGACCCTGATGAAGCTGGGGAAACTGAGTTTGTAAACTCTGATGAACCATTTTTGCCAGAAGAAACAGCTTCCCCATCCCCAGTAGTGGCAACATCCCCTCCCCGACCCATGCTGCCATCAGCCTTTCCACCTTTGTCTGAGGAGACAAACCCTGCGCGGTCTGAGGCAACAGTGATGGCCTCCCCTGGGGCAGTTGTCAGGCAAGATAATTTGATTCTCCTCAGGAGCCACCCCAAACACCCCTGTTTGCTTCTAGACCTATAACTAGTCTAAAGTCCTGGCAGACCCCTAGAGGTGAAGTTGAGGGTGTGACCCATGAGGAGGTGTGTTACACTCAAAAAGAACCACTTGAGTTTCCTAATTTATATAAACAGAAATCTGGAGAACAGGCATGGGAATGAATATTAAGGGTGTGGGATAAGGGTGGAAGGAACATAGAGTTGAATCAGGCTGAATTTATTGACTTGGGCCCACTAAGTAGGGACTCTGCATTTATCATTTCAGCTTTGGGAGTTAAACAAGGTTCTAATAGTTTATTTGTTTGGTTAGCTGAAATATGAATTAAAAGATGGCCCACTCTGAGTGAGCTAGAAATGCCTGATCTCCCTTGGTTTAATGTAGAGGAAGGAATCCAAAGGCTTAAGGAGATTGGGATGGTGGAGTGGATTACTCTCTTTAGAGCTACTCATCCCAGCTGGGAGGGTCCAGAAGATATACCCTTGACCAATGCCTCATGAAATAGATTTGTGCATCTTTGAAGAGCCTTGCAGTTGCTCTTCTCTCTATGTCAGATCTAACAGTGGGAACCCCAGTCACTCAACCACAAACTTTAAATACAATGGGAATAATTGGATCCCGAGGTGGCAGGGGTCAAGTGGCAGCACTCAACCGTCAAAGGCAAGGTGGGCGTAGCTACCATAATGAACAGTAGAGGCAAAGCAGCAATCAGAATAGTCTGACTCATGTAGAGCTCTGGTTTTGGCGAATTAATCACAGTGTTCCTAGAAATGAAATTGATAGAAAGCCTACTTCTTATCAATAAATTCCTACTTAATATCTATAAGCAGAAAACTTCTAGGTTGAATGGACAAAAGACTGATTTGAAGTACAAAAACAGAGCATCATGACCCCTCAGTAAATTTCCAGCTTGTTTACAGACCCAGGACCCCTTGAATGAAGGGGAGGCTGGGTCCCCTTAAGGAAGGACCCCACTATATTACCGACAATTTAGGGAGTGAATCTTTCTCCTATCCTTCCCCAAGAAGAATTCCAGCTTTTTACCAGGGTAACTGTGCATTGGGGAAAGGGAAATGATCAGACATTTCAGGGACTACTGACACTGGCCCTGAGCTGACGTTGATTCCAGAGGATCCAAAACATTATTGTGGTCCTCCAGTTAAAGTGGGGGCTTATGGAGGTCAGGTAATTAATGGAATTTTAGCTTAGGTCTAACTTACAGCAAGTCCAGTGGGTCCTGGACTCATCCTGTGGTCATTTCCCCAGTGCCAGAATTAATAATTGGCATAGACATACTTAGCAGCTGGCAGAACCCCCACATTGGCTCCCTGAATGGTAGGGTGAGGGCTACTATGGTGGAAAGGCCAAATGGAAGCTATTAGAGCTGTGTCTACCTAGAAAAATAGTAAATCAAAAACAATATTGCATCCCTGGAGGGACTGCAGAGATTAGTGCCACTATCAAGGACTTGAAAGATGCAGGAGCAGTGATTCTCACCACATCCCCATTCATCTCTCCCATTTGGCCTGTGCAGAAGACAGATGGATCTTGGAAAATGACAGTGGATTATTGCAAGCTTAACCAAGTGGTGACTCCAGTTGTAGCTGCTGTACCAGATGTGGTTTCATTGCTTGAGCAAATTAACACATCTCCTGGTACCTGGTATGCAGCCATTGACTGGCAAATGCCTTTTTCTCCATTCCTGTCCATAAGGCCCACCAGAAGCAATTTGCCTTCAGCTGGCAAGGCCAGCAATGTACTTTTACTTTCCTACCTCAGGGATATATCAACTCTCTGGCTTTGTGTCATAATCTTATTCGGCGAGATCTTGATCGCTTTTTGCTTCCACAAGATATCACACTAGTCCATTACATTGATCACATTATGCGATTGGATTCAGTGAGCAAGAAGTAGCAAACACACTGGACTTATTGGTGAGACATTTGTGTGCCAAAGGAAGGGAAATAAATCCGACTAAAATTCAGGGGCCTTCTACCTTAGTAAAATTTTTAGGGGTCCAGTGGTATGGGGCCTGACAAAATGTTTCTTCTAAGGTGAAGGATAAGTGGCTGCATTTGGCCCCTCCTACAACCAAGAAAGAGGCACAATGCCTAGTGGGCCTATTGGATTTTGGAGGCAACACATTTCTCATTTGGGTATGTTACTCTGGTCCACTTATCAAGTGACCCAAAAGGCTACGAGTTTTGAGTGGGGTCCAGAACAGAAGAATGCTCTGCAACAGGTCCAGGCTGCTGTGCAAGCTTCTCTGCCATTTGGGCCATATGACCCAGCAGATCCAATGGTGCTTGTGGTGTCAGTGGCAGATACGGATGCTGTTTGGAGCCTTTGGCGGGACCCATAGGTGTATCACAGCAGAGGCCACTAGGATTTTGGAGCAAGGCCCTGCCATCTTCTGCAGATAACTACTCTCCTTTTAAGAGACAGCCCTTGGCCTGTTACTGGGCTTTGGTGGAAACTGAACATTTGACTATGGGCCATCAAGTCACCATGCAACCTGAATTGCCTATCATGAACTGGCTGCTTTCTGACCCATCTAGCCGTAAGGTGGTTCATGCCTAGCAGCATTCCATCATCAAATGGAAGCGGTATATACGTGATCGGGCTTGAGCAGGTCCTGAAGGCACAAGTTACATGAGGCAGTGGCTCAAATGCCCATGGCCTCCACTCCTGTTGCCCTGCTTTTTCTCCCCCAGCCTGCACTGACGGCTTCATGGGGAGTTCTCTATGATCAGCTGATAGAGGAAGAGAATACTAGGGACTGGTTCACAGGTGGTTCTGCACCATATGCAGGCACCACCCCAAAGTGGACAGCTGTAGCACTACAGCCCCGTTCTAGGACATCCCTGAAGGACAGCAGTGAAGGGAAATCTTCCCAGTGGGCAGAACTGCGAGCAGTGCACCTGGTTGCGCACTTTGTATGGAAGGAGAAATGGTCAGATGTGCGATTATATACTGATTCATGGGCTGTAGCCAATGGTTTGGCTGGATGGTCAGGGTCTTGGAAGAAGCATGATTGGAAAATTGGTGACAAGGAAATTTGGGGAAGAGGTATGTGGATGGACCTCTCTGAATGGTCAAAAACTGGGAAGATATTTGTATCCCACGTGAGTGCTCATCAACGGGTGACCTCAGCAGAGGAAGATTTTAATAATCAAGTGGATAAGATGACCTGTGCTGTGGACACCACTCAGCTTCTTTCCCCAGCCACCCCTGCCATCGTCCAATGGGCTCATGAACAAAGTGGCCATGGTGGCAGGGATGGAGGTTACACATGGGCTCAGCAACAGGGACTTCCACTCACCAAGGCTGACCTGGCTATGGCCACTGCTGAGTGCCCAATTTGCCAGCAGTAGAGACTAATACTGAGCCCTCAATATGGCACCATTCCTCATGGTGATCAGCCAGCTACCTGGTGGCAGGTTGATTACATTGGACCTCTTCCATCATGGAAAGGGCAGAGGTTTTTCCTCACTGGAATAGACACTTTCTCTGGATATGGGTTTGCCTATCCTGCATGCAATGCTTCTGTCACGACTACCATCCATGGATTCACAGAATGCCTTATTCACCATCATGGTATTCCACACAGCATTGCCTCTGACCAAGGCACTCACTTTGTGGCTAAAGAAGTGTGGCAGTGGGCTCATGCTCATGGAATTCATTGGTCTTACCAAGTTCCCCATCATCCTGAAGCAGCTGGATTGATAGAATGGTGGAATGGCCTTTTGAAGTTATAATTACAATGCCACCTACATGATAATACTTTGCAGGGCTGGAGCAAAGTTCTCCAGAAAGCCGTGTATGCTCTGAATCATCGTCCAATATATGGTACTGTTTCTTGCATAGCCAGGATCCACGGGTCTAGGAATCAAGGGCAGAAGTGGAAGTGGTACCACTCACTGTCACCCCTAGTGACCCACTAGCAAAATTTTTGCTTCCTGTTCCTGCAACATTACATGCTGCTGGCCTAGAGGTCTTAATTCCAGAGGAAGGAACACTGCCACCAGGAGACACAACAACAATTCCATTAAACTGGAAGTTAAGTTTCCCACCTGGAAACTTTGGGCTCCTGCTACCTTTAAGTCAATAGGCTAAGAAAGGGGTTACAGTGCTGGCTGGGGTGATTGACCCAGATTGTCAAGATGAAATCAGTTTACTACTCCACAACAGAGGTAAGGAAGATTATGTATTTAATACGGGAGATCCATTAGGGCGTCTCTTAGTATTACCGTACCCTGTAATTAAGGTCAATGGGAAACTACAACAGTCCAATCCAGGCAGTACTACAAATGACCCAGACCCTTCAGAAATGAAGGTTTGGGTCACTCCACCAGGAAAAAAACCATGACCTGCTGAGGTGCTTGCTGAAGGTAAAGGGAATACAGAATGGGTAGTAGAAGAAGGTAGTCATCAATACCAGCTATGACCACGTGACCACCTGCAGAAACAAGGACTATAATTGTCATGAGTATTTCCTCCTTCTTTTGTTAAAAACATGCTTGTGCATGTATACACCTGTACTAAGAAAATATCTTCATTTTATTTCCTTTCTTTTCCCTTTATTATGTGACATAAGATTTATTGACTTTACATCAGCATTTAAGTATTGTTAACTTTATGTAATAGTATTTGGGTTGGGGATTGGCGCGTTTCTGGTTGTATGAAGGATAGTTGTATTACGTTAGGTATAATTATCACCTTATTATTGTCTTTATTTGAAGGTTATGTATGATCTCAGGAGATGTGTACAGGTTCAAGTCGACAAGGCATGGACCTGTGATGGTCAATACTGAGTGTCAACTCCATTGGATTGAAGGATACAAGGTATTGATCCTGGGTGTGTCTGTGAGGGTGTTGCCAAAGGAGATTAGCATTTGAGTCAGTGGTCTGGGAAAGGCAGACCCACCCTTAATCTGGGTGGGCACAATCTAATCAGCAGCCAGTGGAGATAGAATAGAAGCAGGCAGAAAAATGTGAAAAGAGAGACTGGCCTAGCCTCCCAGACTACATCTTTCTCCTGTGCTGGATGTTTCCTGTCTTCGAATGTCGGACTCCAAGTTCTTCAGTTTTGGAGCTCGGGCTGGCTCTCCTTTCTCCTCAGCCTCCAGATGCCCTATTGTGGGACCTTGTGATCATGTGAGTTAATACTTAATAAACTCCCCTTTACATATATATCTATTCCATTAGTGCTGTCCCTCCAGAGAACGCTGACTGAAGAACTTGGAGTTCATACATCAGGAACATGTATTAGCTCAAGTAATGGCCCCAGCAAATCCCCTGAGGTTTATCTTGTCATCATCCCTTCCATTTTATAGTTGGGCAAATTAAGGCTCAGAGAGGCAGAGATATTTGCCTGAGCTCACACAGAGAGTACTGCTTCCAGGGAGTCTGACCCCAGAACACATGATTTTAAGAGCTTAAACCCCACTGCTTACTAATAAACTTAAAGGACTGGGTATATTTGGCTTTCTTTTTCTTTCTTTCTTTCTTTTTTTTTTTTTTTTTTTGTGACAGAGTCTCTCTTTGTAGCCCAGGCTGGAGTGCAGTGGCACGATCTTGACTGCCCACAACCTCTACCTCCTGGGTTCAAGTGATTATCCTGCTTCGGCCTCCGAGTAACTGGGGTTATAGGCGTGGGCCATCACATCTAGCTAGGTATAGTTGACTTTCTACAAATGCTACTGTTCCTCTTTCCTACTCTATCCAACACATTTATTTTCCTATCAACATTATCAATAACTTAGATAAAGGAGGTAGGTGTAGTAGAAAGAGAAATAGTGAATCTTTTGAATGGTAGAATCAAACACCCACAGATTTGGGGCAGGCTGGAGTGAGGGACTAAATCTAACATGATGGAACCTAGGATAGATGCCCTGCTTTTAGATATTGAAAACTACCACAGAGGTGACAGGAGGAGCATCAAGCACTTGCATAAAAGGGATTTGGGCAAAATGTGAATTAATGGTATACCTAGATCACTAGTAACTGGATCACAGAAGGACCCAGCGATATGTGAGATGGCCATGACTTGGCCATCTGTCTGCTCTTCTCCGTTCTAGAAGGCCATGAGGGCTTGACCCAAATTAGCAGGTAGTTCACAACCCAGTTTCTCAAACAAATGTCTGTACATGTACAAACACTTTTTTAAAAACACTTCACATAATAAACGTGAAGATATCATCTAATTTGTGTTCTGAAGTTAAATTTCTGTGAGATCCACTGGCAGATGAGCTAATGTACATGAAAAAGGCAACAATCCACCTCAGCCTCCCAAAGTGCTAGGATTACAGGCATGAGCCAGGCATGGTGGCGCACACCTGTAATCCCAGCTGCTCAGGGGGCTGAGGCAGGAGAATTGCTTGAACCCAGGAGGTGGAGGTTGCAGTGAGCCAAGATCGTGCCATTGCACTCCAGCCTGGGCGACACAGCAAGATTCCGTCTCAAAAAAAAAAAAAAAAATAAGTGACAGCAGCAGCATCAACAACCATTTCTGGAAAACCTCCTATGCACTGTGCACTTTACTCAAAGTTTTGCATGCATTATTTAATTTAGTGTTCACAAGAAGTAAATGTAGTGGGTCCTTGTCTTGCTTCTCTCATAGTTGAGGAAGTGGGGCTCAGAGGGATTATATTATGTACCCAATACCACGTGCTTAGTAAAAGGAAGTGGAATGTAAAATGAATCAAATCCAGAAGGTGGTATATCAGGAATCACTGGCTGACTGAGGGCCTTGAATAACCCACAGATTGATTGGTCAATGGGCCCCTGGCCACTAGTGGCCCGGCTCTGGAGACTGCTTTACCAAGTGGTTCTGGCTAGCTCTCGATGCACGGCGGCATACCCTATCACTGCCTGGAGATAGATTTTCTACCCCAAAGCATGACAGCATCTCCTAAGTGTTACTGTCACTGGCTCAGTGATAAAAAGGATGATTTCTACGGTTTTCTAAGCATGTAGAAGATGAGATAGTGTCATGTGTAATAAAGCTCAGAAAGGCCATAATATCCTGAGGTTCTGCCTCATCATTCTTCCAGTTCATCTAAACAAGTTCAGCTCTGCTCCCATGTTGCATTTATCAAAACATGATGTGGACGTGAAAATTCAGCTGCTGTAGTTTAGCAGATTGCCCTGAATCTTGCCAGGAGAGCTTAAGGGAGCCACAGAATCACAGCGTTCCAGGTCCTCCTCCTGTTTAGTTACAAACCCTGAAGTACTTTTCTCCGACCAAACTGTAAAAATGTTCTCAGCTCCAAGGGGCTTGTGTAATTTTTTTCCAGCATAGGCCTCAGGTAGAACGAACATTTATACCTCTGTTCTGGGGTCTCTGGGGAGTGCACTCTGCCTCTTGCTGTCTCCTCTTCCATGGTGCACTGGGAAGATTCCCACATTTGGTCACCAACTTGTTTTTTGACTTTGAGCAAAATTGCCCTTGAAAAGACCCAAGGTTGTTAAGTTACTTTAATACCTTTGTTTCCCTATTGTAAAATTAGGAGGTTCGTTCCTTCAACAAAAATTTTTATTACTTCCCATGTGTTGGGTGCCTTAGGGCCAAGCACCAAAGATATGCTTGTGAGCAAATCTGGACGTGCTCTCTTCCCTGAAAAGTTGGAGTGTCTCATGGACCAAAGGGTTGGGACTGAGTGACTGTTCAGGGCTTTCCAGGGTTTCCCATGCAGCAACTCATTGTCCCTCACCACCCCGTGAGGCAGGCATTATCATCTTCAGTAAAGAGATGAGGGGATGAGTCTCAGAGATGGTAAGTAACTTTCCCAACCTCCCACAGCAAGTCAACACACACTGGTGAACTCACATCCATTCTTTCTGCTTCCAAAGCCCACCATTTCTCCAGTGCTCTGATTTGCTACCTTAAGGACAAGGAAGCTAATGTTTACCAGATTATCACCTCCACTGTGTGGATGAAGGACCTCAGACTCAAAAGGGTCAGGGGCCCACTCAGTGTCACAGCCGGTGCACGTGGGAGGCATAGGAACTTAGGCCCGCTCTGTGTCTCAAAGAGCCCACTGTGGGCTTCAACTCCCTTGGCTTTGGCTCCCTGGGTTGTTAACAGGGCTCATCATTGACCACAGTAAGTTGCCCCCTTCTGTTTATGTATTGTTTTGTCTCCCTGTGTCTCAGTCATTCATCACAGAAACCCCAACAGTTCTGACGTCATTAATTGCCTCTTGATATGGTTTGGCTGTGTCCCTACCCAAATCTCATTTTGAGTTGTAGTACTCATAATCCCCACATATCATGGGAGGGAGTCAGTGGGAGGTATTTGAATCATGGGGGCAGTTACCTCCATGCTGTTCTTGTGATAGTGAGTGAGTTCTCATGAGTTCTGATGGTTCTATAAGGGACTTTCCCCCTACTTTGCTCAGCATTTCTCTTTGCTGCTGCCATGTGAAGGACATGTTTTCTTCCCCTTCCACCATGATTGTAAGTTTCCTGAGGTCTCTCCAGCAGTGCTGAATTGTGAGTCAATTAAACCTCCTTCCTTTATAAAATACCCAGTCTCAGGTATGTCTTTAATAGCAGTGTGAGAATGGACTAATACACTTCTCCTCCTAGCCAGCACATAGTTGGTGCTCAGAAAACACTGGTTAAACAAATAAGTTAATACTAATGATCATCCTCCAGGAAGCAGAGCCCACCCGCTGTGGCAAATATTCTATTTCTTAGCCTGGAAAGTAAAACCATAAGCTAAAGCTAGTACCAGTTCCTCCTGAGCTAGCATGACCAGAAGAAAACTAACCAGCCTCCTATAGGACATTTGAGAGATGCTCCAATCAAGGAAGCCCAGGACTTTCATTTGTACACCAGGCTTTGTTTATGGAATAAACAGGGCCACTTACAATGCATTCTGGCCTGGATTAAGATGAACTTCAGGTCCTCTAGCAAGGGTGGATTTGTATTGACATGCAACACAGGGGGCCCAGGTGGCGTTCTAGGACCCTGGATTGGTGCTTTGTTTGGGCTTCCCCCAACCTTACACTAGCCCTGTAGATATCCAGATGGCTGGGGCCTGGCTTCCATAGGGCCTCACCTCTCAGGGGCTCAGCTAAGAGCTGTGTGGGCTGAGTTGCGGAAGGCAGTGAGAGGAAGGAGGCCCAGGTACTACAGGGGCTTGGATGCTGAGGTTCAGCATGAAAGATTCTCCTTCTGCACCAGCAAACATTTGCAAACCTCTTTCCTTTATAAAATACCCAGTCTCAGGTATGTCTTTATTTAATTTGCAGGTTAATTATTTTTCTAAAGAGCAGCAGCCTTCATCCTCTCTCACCCTCTGCCGTTTTACCCATCTGTGTGAACTACCAAGTTTAAGGGAAAAATAATGCTAAGAGCACAGGAACAATGCCATCTCCAAAAGGAGTGGGCTGTAATTTTAATATACAGATGCTAAATAAAACCTCAGTTTTTCAGGACATAAGGGTTTCCTGAGCTTCACAGCTGTGAGCAGAGATGGCCAGGCATTTATTTCATTTAATTGTACAGTCCAGATTCTTACTGTCCACTGACAGCCCATTAAAGGAAGCTGCACCTGCATTTATTAGAAGAGACAGAAGGAAAATTCCAGGTCTCAGTGCCTTCACAGCCAGGTGGAGGAGCTGGACTCTTAACAAAAGAAGCTGAAAACAGGCTAAGAAAGAGAAGGGCTCACAGGTTAGTGAGGGAGGGCCAAGGGCGTGGTGAAGGCTTTTACAGGACACCTGAATCTTGAAGGGGATGCGGACGTAATAGGAATTGTACCTTATGTTCTCTTCGGTATTTCAATTATCACGGCAACATTATAAGGCAGACATTGCAAGCAACATTTTTCAGATTACAAACTGAGGTCCAAAGCACAGAGAATTTGTCTGCAAACTTCATAGCAGAGCCTGGACTCAAACATTGCTTCGTGCGATTCCAAGTTCGGTATTCATGTCCTTATGAAACCTTTGCCAGATGTCTCCCATGTGCCTGATCTGCATCAGGTATAAGTTGCATGAAGAGGTGAGACCCCATCTCTGACCTCAGGGGTTTCTGGTCTAGAGAAGAATGATCTAAACACCCACACTGTGAGGTTGGGGCTGGGAGCTTGGAGCTGGGGGCTGGGATTTGAAAGATGCCTGGATGTCTGCCAGGGGACTGTGGCAAGGGCACTTGAGGTTTTAGACAAAACCCATGAGTAAGGTCATAGAACGTGGAGCTGGACTTGAGGTGGGGTGAGGAAGAGGAGCATTTATTTGGGATGGGTAGAGAATAATAAGAGCTAATCTTTACTCAGAGCTTGTTATTTTCCAGGCACTGCTCTAACTGCTTTTCCCATGGTGGCTCCTTGAATCCTCACAAACCTCTCAAATAGTGACTGTTATTCCATCATCTTCATTCATACAGGGTCTTGCTCTGTTACCCAGGCTGGAGTGCAGTGGTGTAATCATAGCTCACTGAAGCCTGATCACAGCTCACTGCAGCCTTGACCTCCTGGGCTCAAGCAAACCTCCTGCCTCAGCCTCCTGAGCTGGAATTACAGGTGCTCACCACTAGACCTAGCTAATCTAAATTTTTTTTTTTTTTTTTTGTAGAGATGGCATCTCACCATGTTGCCCAGGCAGGTCTCCAACTCCTGGCCTCAAGTGATCCTCCTGCCTTGGCCTCTTATAATGTTGGGATTACAGGCAAGAGCCACTCTGTCCAGCCTCATTCCCTCAGCTTACTGCTGGTGGAGCTAGAGGCACACAGAGATAAGATGACTTGCTAGATTAGGTCCCTCTGCTAGTAAGAGAGGGAGCCAAGATTCACACCTGGGTGGTCTGGCTTCTGAGTCTCCCCAGCCCTGTGCAGAGGAGGAAGTATGTCCAGGAAGGGCAGCATCCACCAAGCATGAGAGCTGGCCAAGATACGGCACGGGGGCTTTGCTCATTCTGCAGTCAATGGACATTTTCCAGTCTAATGTGCCAGGGGTTGTGAAAGGGAAAAACAAAGGAAAATAAGTTAAACTCCAGCAGAGAAGAAAGTACTTTCAAGAACAATGATGACACAGGAAGAATGTGAATAGCAGCTTGAGGGAGATAGAAGAGGTGCCCACACCATCAGCCCCCTGTTTCATGCTCATTGTTTTATTTATCCTGATTCATTCCCAGGCTCTATTTACAAACTCCCTGTTTTTCGAGAGAAATTCTAATGCCTCTCTGATGCCTGATACAGTGCATTACACCAAGCACATTTTTTTTAAACAAATGAAGGCCTCTCAGAGCACCCCCTTTGCACACTGAGGGGAAATCTGCCTACCCAAGACTTCTGCACTAACCCATCTTGCCCTGCTTGGGACCACAAGAATCAGCCAGGCCCCTTCCACTTGGCGCCCTGTCAGATGCTCAAAGAATGTGATACTCTCTGGCTACCATATAAGCTAAAAAATAGAGCTTCCTCCTCTGTGGCATCGGTTGAACCTGTCTGTGGAGTCACACCCATTCGACTAGGTTTTTTTCTCTTGGCTACTCCATCCAGTCTCTTCTGCAGGTGCATTTGCCTCTGCTCAGTCATTACATGATAGATTTCTACAAGACGAGGTCCGATGCCTCCTAGATATTTACTCTATTCTTTTTGCCTGGGAGATTTTATCCATGTCCATGGCTTTAATGACCACCTTTAAATATGTATCATCCAAATTTATATGTCTAGTCTGAGCTTTTCCCCCTTTGCTCCAGTCATGTATACCCCTGTATCCTTTAAAGCATTTTTTTCCCCTCTGGAAAATTTTAAGCACATATCAAAATAGAACAAGTTAATGAACCACTAATAATTAGAATCTAGTTTCAGCTACTCTTGACTTTGTGCTATTTTGTTTCTTCTATCTCCCTGCTCCTCCTCATCCTCTGCCTGGTTGGTATAATTTGAAGATGATCCAAATCATCACACTATTTTGTCTGTAAATACTTCAGAATCCACTAGCCTTCTAAATATTTTCCTTTGGCTTTCTCAAAAGTATCTGAAGATCAACTCTTTCAAAATCAAATGTGAGGCTTTCCTCTTTAGAATTGGTCCTCTTCCAGTGTTCTCCAACTCAATGAACCTCACCACCCTATATCCTGAGAATTATCCTTGATACATTCCTCTTATCCCTACCCACTGTATATCACCAGCTTCCCTTATCTTGAGCTCTCCCTCTCTATCACCTTACTCCAAACCATTGTTTCTCACCTGGACCATTTGTGATAGTCTTCTGGCCATCTGCCTTTCTCCACTGTGGTCCTACTCCATTTACTCCCCTCCACATTACAGACAAGCGATGTTTTCTTTTTTCATTCAGCAAATATCTACTGAATACTTACTGTGTCCTAGGTATTATAAACAAGATGCTGGCCATGTATTGATTAACAGGTACATTTCTTGTTTATGAAACACACACACACATACACACACACACACACGCACGACAATAATATATGTAATTTGAAGTGCTATGAAGGAAATAAAGCTGGGGCTAGATAGTGACGGGGTGCTGTCTTATATAGAGTGGCCTAGAAAGGCCAATTGTGCAAAAACTGATGAATATGAAGGCATTAATCACACCCAAGTCCAAGGGTAGATTATCCCAGCCAGAGAAAACAGTAAGGACGGGGGCCCTGATATATCTCATCTAACAACTTAATTTTCTTCTTGTGAGGGGGAGTTCCTCAATTTTTTAAAAGACTTTACTTTTTTTAGAACAGTTTTAGGCTCAGCAAAATTGAGAGGAAGATACAGAGATTTCCTACATACCAGAGACTTGTGTCTGTGGCTCTGACCTTGACCCCATTCCCCACTGTGTTCCAGGCATATGGGCCTGTCTCCAGGCCTTTGGGCATCCTTCTTGCTGCCGCAGAGGCTTTGTACAGAATCCTTGCCTCTGTTTGGCATGTTCCTTTTCCCGCTCCTGCTTCACCTTGTTCTAGTTCAGGCTTTGAATCCTTGATTCTGCCTGTTTTAAGTGGTTCAGGCTGCTGTAAAAAAACACCATAGACTGGGTGGCTTATAAAAAACATACATTTATTTCTAACAGTTCTGGAGGCTGGGAAGATCAGGCTGCCAGCATGGTCAATTCTGGTGAAGGCGCTTTTCTGGGTTGCAGACTGCTGACTTCTCATTGTATCCTCACATGGCAGAAAGAGGGTGAGAGAGCTCTCTGGGGTCCCTTTTATAAGCGCACCAATCCCATTCATGAGGGCTCCATCCTCATGATCTAACTACCTCCCAAAGCTCTTACCTTCTAAGGAGGTGAAGCTTTCAACATAGGAACCTTGTGGGGAACACAAACATTCAGACCATAACACCTCCTTAATAATTACTTCCTTAGTAAAGCCCCAGCCCCCATTCTGCTCTCTCACCCCTCCAATCCTGGTTAAACTTGCCTTGCTATAGCCACCATGGCCTTCTTTTGGCTGTTCAAATGCACCAGCCAACTTACCACTGTCAGCCTCTGTATTGGGTTTACCCTGCCTGCAATGCTCCTTCTCTTGACCTCACAGCTGGCATTGCTCAGACCTCAGTTGAACTGCCCCAGAGCAGCCATCCAAAGCCACCTAGCCTAAAGTGGCCATGCAGTCTCTCCTTCTCATATCTCTCTTTTCTAGTTCTCTGCTAATATTTTTCTTGATTGACTGATTTGATTGATCTCTTCCACTCCACCCCAAATGTAAGCTCCAAGACAGAGGAATATTATCTGTCTTCTTCATCCTGCATCTCCAGGGCCTGAAGTGCATGGTAGGTGCCTAACGACTGTTAAGTGAATGAAGGCATTATATATTTGTGAATGGGGAAGTGCAAGATGAAAGTGGTGCTTAAGGAGAACTACAGATCAATAACATTCAGGGGGATCAAGGAGAGCTTAGATGTAGAGAAAGGAAACCGAAGAAGAATACAGTTCATGGTTTTTCTGTCAATTACATCCCTCCACCACTTGAATCAGTACCTGTGAGGGTGGGGCCCCCACATATGTATATTTTACAAGCTCAGGAGATTCTGATCCTCAGCAGGGCTGAGAACAATGAGGCTAGATGAGATATAACGGTGCTAGTACTTATAATAAAAAAGTAAAAAAAAATTCAACTTGGTAAAATTAATTTTATAGTATATTTTATTTAACCCAACATAATCCAAAATATTATTTCAGCGTGTCATAAATATAAAAGTTATCAATGAGATAGTTTGTATTTTTTTCATTAATAATCCTTCAAAATCAGTGTGTAGCTCATGCTTATAGCACATTGCCATTCAGACTGGCCATAACCTAAGAACTCAGTAATCATGAGGGGTCAGGGTCCCATACTAGATGGTGCAGAACCACAGGTCCCTTCTGGCTCTGGTGTCTGGCAGCTGATTCGAGCATAGTGAGGAGACTCCTGTAATTCCCAAAGCAGCCTGGCGTGTACTGGGGATCACATTTCCTCCTTGTTCTTATTAACATCTCTGTTCTCTCAAGATCTGCTTTGTCTTGACTCTGGATTAATTTCTCTTTGCTGTCTGTTGGTAACTGAGAATCCCCAGCCTAGATCAAAGATATCTTGCTAACCTGTTTCTTTTCTTGAGTGAACATGTTGCAGGATCTGATTTTTAACCAGTGGATGTCACTGTTTACTCAAAGAGGGTCCTTGGAGGAGACACTCTAATCCAGGGATGAATGTAAAAACAGTAGTCATTGTCTCATCTTCCCTTCTATTAGTGTTTCCCTTCTAATTTGAAGCTGTATTAGGTTTTTAGGAAGGGAAAGGTAAGTGGTTAGTGCTGGTTCACTTGTGCTGTCTAGAGCATTTGTTGGTCTTAGAGATTTGAAACCTCATTTAATAAAAGGTGCAGTCCATAATTACAAGGCAAATAGTAACAAAGTAGGCTGGGTGCGGTGGCTCACGCCTGTAATCCCAGCACTTTGGGAGATCAAGGTGGGAGGACCGTTTTAGCCCAGGAGTTTGAGACCAGCTTGGCCAATATAGTAAGACCTCATCTCTGCGAAAAAATCAAAGAATTACCTGGGTGTGCTTGCATGCGCCTATAGTCCCAGCTACTTGGCAGGCTGAAGCAGGAGGATTGTTTCAGCCCATGATATCAAGGCTGCAGTGGGCTGTGATTGTGCCACTGCATTCCAGCCTGGGTGACAGAGTAAGACTCTGTCACAAAATAAATACATAAATAAAAAAACTGGCCTGGTGCGGTGGCTCATGCCTGTAATCCCGGCATTTTGGGAGGCTGAGATGGACAGATTGCTTGAGTTCAGGGGTTCGAGACAAACCTGGGCAACATGGTGAAACCCCATCTCTACTAAAAATACAAAATAATTAGCTGGGCATGGTGATGTGTGCCTGTGGTCCCAGCTAATGGGGGGCTGAGGTGGGAGAATCACTTGTACCTGGGAGGTGGAGGTTGCAGTGAGCCGAGATCACACCACTGCACTCCAGCCTGAACAACAGAGTGAGACACTGCCTCAAAAAATGAAACAAAACAAGATCCTAAGTTAATTATAGTAAAAAAAAAAATCCCTGAACTGCTCTTTTAAAAAGAAGAGTTCTGTATTTCTGCAAAGCAGAGGTCACAAACAGCCTGTAGCCAAGTCTGCTGCTGTGTGACCAGCACAATGTTTGAAAAACAATTGAGCTAACATTTGCATTGGAGGGCGATGCAAACATTTGATTTCTGTCTTTGCCTCAAATATGAAATCTGGCCCTGTTAGACTCATACCCTACAAGGCCACAGCTGGGATGATGCTCAGTTGCTTCTTGTAAATTGTCATGTCCTCTTTTTCCCACAGGCCTCACCACTCCCAACAACTCGCCAGACCAGGTATTTTCATCTATTCAGGTTGGCAGCCCAATCTCTGTTGGCATTGGCAGTTTAGATTGCTGTTAAAACCTGTTTCTTGGAGTAGAAACAAATATGGAAGCATTAATTGTTTTAGTAGACATCTGAAGGGTGGGATGATTTGGAAACAAAGACAACAGAAGATTGGTTTTAAAGATCTTTTTCTGGCTTTAGGTTTGGGGTTGAATAATTCTTGGCTCAGGTTAGGACTAGCCAGCCTTTTGCTTGAAACTACCTTCAGAATTACAGATGTCTGTCGTTGTCATGAGCTCTCCAAGGTAGCCCAGGGTATGGGAGATGGAAGGAAAATGGATTAGCTAAGGTAGGACCTTTGATGCCACTGTTGGGGGCTGGGTGAGGATTGACCCCATTGGCCTCCCCTCACCTTCAATCCCATAAGTGGCAAGCCAGGATCCTCTTTTACCTTTCTCTAAGGTGATAAGTCTCAAACTTGAGTGAGCCTCAGAGTCACTTGAAGGGCTTGTTAACTACAAGCTGGACCCAACTCGCAGAACTTGATTCAAGAGGTCCAGTGTAGGGCTTGAGAATTCACATTTCTAACACAGTCTCAGGATATGCTGCTTCTGTTGATCCTGCAACTACACTTTGAAAACACTGGTTTCAAAACACTGGCTTTTGAGGTCAAAGTGAGATTGTTTCAAAGGCAAAAGAGATGTGTGTGTGTGTGTGTGTGTGTGTGTGTGTGTGTGTGAAAGAGAGAGAGAGGATGAGACAGAGGATATATTGAAAACAAGCTCTTGATTTCTGTTCCAGAATACGTGTGATACAAGAGTTAGTACATTCCCAAAGATTGAAGAATGAATTCAGGCACAAGCAACACTTCTGAGACGGTCCTGGCTTTTTCTTATCAATGCGTTTGATATACTTCTCAAGAAAAAAGACACTACCATTGGGCAGCCTCTACCTCTAGGGCTCATTACCTGACAGTGAATGAAGTGACCTTTTTCTTAAAAGGACAGCAAACAGCAACCACTGGCTGGTCTTCTACTGCTTCTGCCACTGCTTCTGACAGTGCAATGCAGAGGGAGGGGGCGAGGCTCTGGAGCAGGATGAGTTGACATTTACTGAGTGCTTCCTGTCTGCCAGTAGCTGTGCTATATGCTTACTTGCAACATCTCATGCAAATCTTCAAACCATTCCAGGAGATATGCACTCTATATAATCCCATTTTGTAGTTGAAGAAGCTGCCTCAGAGCTATTAAGTAACATCTCTAAAGCCACACAGCTGGTGGGCGATGCCCAGGGTTTGATCTGGGACCATTTGACTCTACAGCTGGAGCTCCCAACCATGGCTTCTCAAGCTAGAAAAGGCTTGAAGTGTAGTAGTGCCTCTAAGAAGCTGTGGGAAAGGATAACTGATTTTCTCCTTTGTGTCTTTAACTTCCTCTGCAGCAACATGGTAACAAGAATACTACTTCCTAGATTATTGTACAAATTAAATAGGGCACAGTCTGTATGTCATCAATATATCTTTGTGTCGATGAGTATTAATATACTTCTTCTTTCCATCCTTGTATCTCTTGAGTGATTTGCCCTATGCCTCAAAGCATGCACTCATTGCGCATTCTTGTGCACCTACTGTGTGCACTGTGAACCAGCAGACGTGGTCCCTGCAGAATGTTGGCAAGAAGGAGCCACAGATTGATAAGCCAGTGGTCAACTGTTCATCTCCAAATGCAGATCTTCCAGGCTTCTCACATTCAACTTGCCTCCCCACCTGTTACTCTCCATAGATGCTGGTGTTCCCTGTTTTGACTGGCAGTGCCACCTACCATTCTATGAGCCAATAGCCTGCCTGCAACCCCTCACCACCATACATCTCCTTCAGATATCAAACTCCTTATCTGAGCAGGACTTAAGTTTTATGGAAAATTCTACCTGGACAATCTCTGCCTCCTATGGGATTGTCTATTTCTCTGCCAGTCTTGATCCTTCCAATACAGTCTCCATGTGGCTCTGAGCATGAGTGTTCTGTTCTGAATGCACCTTTGCACCCATCGTCACCTGTGCCAGGTTCTGCAGCAGTTCCTTCCTGCCCTCAGGCCCGTGCCCAGCCTCCAAAACCCCCAGCCTCCCAGACACACATCCTCAATGGTGCCCAGCCCACTGCCCTGTCTGGCCTCACTCTCCAGTGACATCTTCTCATTTCCTAGCAACCTCAACCCCTTGGAACCTGTCTGCTCACTTTACTAGCTTGTGCCTCCATGAATTTTCTGAGGACACTGTCTTTGTCAGGAATGCCCCGCCCAGCCCTGCCCTTCGCTCACCCCTACTCATTCTTTCCCAGTAGCTCAGGAGGCTGCCTTGGCAGAAGGCCTTTGGGCTTCCCAGTTTGGGTCAAGTTCTTCTGTGCTCCAGACATGTCTTTATTTCTACATTCAAGTTGAGACTAATCAGCCATGGCCTGGGCTCCCGAGAGCTGGGCACATGGAAATGGGCAGGGGAGCTGGCTGGGTGGAGGTCTCCTGGGGTGTGGGGGGGTTTGGAGCATTTACAGCTGCGGTGTCATGCACCTGTGAGCACCTCGGCTCGACAGGAGGGCCTCTGGGGTGGCCTTTGGTGCTTCAGGGCTCAGAGGCTTAAAAAACTGCGGGAGAGGTCAGCATCTTTGTTTCAAGACCTTTCTCTCTGACATTTCTACCCTGAAATGCCACTTCTACTGCACCACATGGAGACACATGTCCAAGAGGGCTTGACCTACTCAGAGTCCTGGTGATCCGTCAGAGGGAGGCAAGCTGATCCTGCCTTCCAGATGGGGGCCCCTGGACAGTAGCGAACATCGGCTGCAGGCCTGTGCTTGCCAGCCCTGCTTCACCCTGCCTGGTTGCAGGCCTTTCCCTTCTCCCAGCTCCCTCTCTTGCACAAACACAAGCCATTAATTAAACCAGGACCTTTGTTTCCTGAGCCCCTCCCTCCAGCTCCTTTCCCAGCAGGCACCTGAGGGGGTCCCTTGTGACTCAGTGGGGGTGCTGGTGACAGCACTGGGAGTTGGGGATGGGGTATGATGGGGACCTAAGCAGTGGCTCCTGATTCCTCTTCTATATCATGGGCTTCAGGGGCTCTGAGACAGACTGCAGGGCCTTCTTACTTTTAGAGATCTGGGGAACATTGGTATATTTGTTTGACAGGGGTTTCAGGCCCCACAGTCAAGTAAAAATGGCCCCAGGACTCCTTGTAGGGAACCAGGGAGGGTTGGGAGAAAGCTGTCTTTCTTGAAAGAGTATTTGTTTTTTTGAAAGCAGCTCCCTGCTGTTTTGTATCCTGTTAACAGAACCAAAGACAATACGCATTGTAGACTGAATCAGCTCACAGCCACACTCTTCCATCTCTCACTTAATTTGATTCTTTACCAACCCTGTGAGATAGAGGGGCAAAGACAGGCAATAGGCTCCCTCCTTTATAGATGAGGAAACTGAGGCACAAGGAGTAATATTTGCCGAGTGTTTGCAATTTGCTAAACATTTGCATGTAAATAGTCACATTTGATTCTTACAAACCAGACTCCAAGGTAAATAAGGGATATGTTAATAACATCTTCAAAAACTATTATTGCATTTTTATATATGCTTGGCACCATTTATGATAATTAAATATAGTGTCATTAGGCAATAATCTTATTGGAGATGTTATTATCCTCAACTTGTCCAGCACTTACTTAGACTCTGATAAATAAAATAACTACCTCTGTGACACAGGGGGGTCTATGTCAGAATTGGTACAAGAACTCAGACTACCATGTCTTCATTGTAAAAGTCTGTCTACTACTGGTCCACAGCCATGTGCTTGAGCTCCCTTCTAGAATTCTTTCTGGTACTTCTTTAGTCTTTGAACATGAGCAGGCTTTCAGTTATTGCAGGAAGAGGATTCTCTGCCCCCCAGTCCCCGACTCCACGCTGCTAGAAGGCTGGGGAGAAAGGTTGATGGTGCCTGGGACAGAAAGACTACATGTCCACTCCTATGTGAGAAGGAGGTAAAATCTGGACAACACTCCCAAATGTAGGAGGGTAATGTCTCCACTGAGCAACTCATTCTGCCCTGGGAAATACTTTAGTTTTTTTCCCAGGCCTTTTCTGGCTCCCAGATTTGTTTGCTGGGAATTAATATTTGTTAAGCACCAAAGCCATTGCAACTTCATTTTTAACTCGAATTTCCTGCTGAGACAAGTAATATTATCCTAAACTTATAAATTAAGACTTTTGAGATACAGATAAGTTAAATAATTTGCTTCAGGTCATGCAGCATGTTAAATCTGCATGTTAAGTAGCAGGGATTTGAGTCTCAGCCTTGTTGACCTCAAAGTCCCCCAAATAATCTACTTTGTTATATCACTGAGGAGCTGAAAAGCTTGCAGTCTATACTATACAGTGCCTTTGAGCAAATTTGGAAAAAGTGTTACCCTTGGGCACATGAAATTAGAAAAAAGGTGCCAATTCTAGGCACATCCCCAGCACATGTGGGTCAGGGAGCCAAGGCAAGCGGCATCTCTTCCAGGCCCAAAGCACAGCATGAACCGGAGGGATGGGCCAGATTTCCATCTCACTGGCTACCTCAGCAAGTGCCACTGTGTACTGCATAACCTGTGAACTGGAGAAAATGATTCCTTCCGGAGCCTTAGCCTATGGTGGTCAGAGATAGAAGGATCATGCTTGCCCTCACACAGAGGTGTCCAGGCATCCTGGTATATCAACAAACTGGGTTTGAATTCTGGCTCTACAGCTCTTCCAAGTCCTGCCAACCAGGATAAATCATTTAACCCTCTGTGCCTCAGTCTTCCTCCTAGGGCTGTTGTGAGCACTAAATAAGATATCCCTTATCATGTGCATGCTCAGTGCAGGCCACACCAGCTCTCAGTGTTTGCTGTCAGCATAGGAAGCATTGTCTGGGGGCTCCTTTCAAATCAGTTAGCAATGCTTTGTCAATGAGCCTGCTTTCCAGACTTTCTTTTCATCAGCTGCTTTGGCAGAGTAATCAGAGGCCCATGAGGATCTAATTAGAGACGATAAACACATCAGGGAAAGAACAAGACACTCATTATTGGTGAGTGCACTCAAGGTAAAGTTATCATGAAGCTCAGCTTTCGTCTGTAGGTACAAAGCACAGATGGAAATATCTGAGAAGTGAGTTCTTCTACCTCCTATCTCCATAGGGAGCTTCTATTCATCCTTCCAAACCCCAGCTTAGATGACTCATCCTTCATAAAGTGTTCCATAATCCCTGATCCCTTTGATACATTAAATCTTCAGTTCTACTTTAGGACATTTTTGCATATACATCTAACATTTACTTATTTATTTGCTAATTAATTCAATTGTTTATGCAACTAGTACTTAATGAGTATAATGAGCATAAACTACCACTACTATGAGTACTACTACATAGTACTACTATGAGTACTACTACATAGTACTACTATGAGTACTTGATGAGTACCTACTATGTGCAAGGTATGGGGGATGTTCATAGGTGAAGAACTTTGGATCCTCTTTATTCTCGTCATTTTGGCCCCTGGCTATCTTAGGTAGAATGCACATTCTGTTCCTGAACCTAATCCAAATCCTGGAACTCACTCATCACTGCCCTCTCTCCTGCAGTAACTTCAACAGCATGGCTGAGGATACCAGAGGAGCCATGAAATGAGAGTGACCATCTTACTGGTTGAATTCACATGCAGGAAGCAACAGAGGCTGTGAGGTGAAGACTGAGGGAAAGTGGGCACATGAGCCATGCTGGGAAGGCTGGCAGTCCATGGTAGGGGCTCAGACCTGAGGGTCTGCGGACCAGGGCTGTGATTAGGGCATACAGCAGCTGATTCTGCCATCCCCACTCCCCAAGTGTTAGTGCTTCCCCTGGCTGGGAAGGCTTTAGTGCAGCTGCTCTTATGGCTCTGCATGTAGGTGTCTGTGCAACGAGGAAGAGAAGCAGGAAGGAAAAAAACCCCACAAAAACGGAAACAGCTGGTGAAGGAGGCTAGCTCAGCAATAAGGGCATTGCTGAAGCAACCAATAGCCTTGACCTACAAAGAACATTAAACCATCTTGACAGCAACCATTTTGTGCTGCAAAATACAGAGAGACACTGGAGACAAGGCAGCTCCAGGAGGGGCCTGGGGCTAGATGGGTGGAGAATTTCTGCATATCATCAGGATTTTTATTAGTAATTACCTTGCAAGGGAGAGTACCAAGGACAGAGGCAGGCTGAGAAAGGCCATTTGGGAAAGTCCATGAAGACAGCAGTCTGATGTGGTAATAACTAGCCGGAGATGAAATCTCATTTCATTCTGCCAACAAATCTCCACGGAACTGAGTCCCAGCTTTGCTCTCATTCACAATAGAACACACCTGGTTTGAATTCCAGCTCTGTTTTCATTAGAGGTGGGATCCTGACCAAGTTATTTAATCTCTCTGGAGCTATTGTTTCTACCTCTGCAAAATGAGAGTCCTAATAGCTGTAGGGGATTAGAGACAATATATATAAAACATCTTGCACAGTGTCTAGCAGGGAGTAGCCACAACTCAATAAAATGTAGCTATTATAATTTGTGGGAGAGAGTAATGGTGGTGTTAGTATGAGTGCACACTAGCTGTTGGAACAAAGAAATCCCAGTCTCAGTTGCATAAAACAAGAAAAATCTGCTTCTTGCACATGTAACAATCCAATACATGACTGAAGGTCAGAGAGTGTTTTCTTCCATGTGTTGACTCAGGGACCCAAGCTCTTTCCTGTTGTTGCTCTACCATCAGATCCCATAGCCACAGCTGGTCACATGGCTTCTTGGAGAAGGGGTGGGAAGCTTCAGCAATGACTGGGAACTCCCTCCCAGAAAATACTGCATACTGTTGAAGGAGGTGCACATATTTTGGGTGGATTGTTAGCTGGCCCTGCACCAGTAGTAGGAGAAGAGTGACAGTTTGGGATGAAGCAGACGCCTTAGGACAGAGCCAGGCTCAAAATTGTAATTGATCGGCAAACCCCCCACCCATTCTGAATAACCTGGCTAGGATTAGCTCTGTCCTAAGGCATCGGCTTCATCCCAAACTGTCACTTCTCTGCAGAGCTAATCCAACAACATTGACATTATTCAGGAGCTTGTTTGACATGCAAAATCACAAGTCCCACCCCAGACCACCTGAGTCAGAATGTGCATTTAGGATCCCCTGCAGAGATTCTGATTTAGGAGGGCTGATGTGAGATTCTGCCTTGTTTCTAACAACCTCTCAGGTGGCACCGATGTTGCTGGTGCATGAGTACACTTCAGCGGCAAGCACGAAAAGGACCTGATTACAGAAACTCAACTTCTCCCTGGACAAAATGAGATTTTTCCGGTGGTTATATGGAGGTGAGAGGTGGGCATCTCACCCTCCCCTCCTTGTGGTTGTGGTCACCTACTATGATGACCACATAGGGTGGGTGGCATTTCTGCAAAAAGAGGGTTAAGTAGCATTCCCTGTTCTTGTTTTGTCTAAGAGAGGCGGAAATCCTGAGACCACCCACAGAAACCCTGCAGCTATGTATTTACTGTTATATGGTGGCTGAGCAGAGAGACACTTGCTCTTCGGATGTATGGTTAGAATCCATCTCTGATGGACATGAATCTCTGTCTAGCTGAGATTTACTTGCAATTGTCTGCAGTGAGAAATGTTAGTTAATGAAGCCTGTGCTACAGTCACACAGGTAATCACCCTCTTCCCTCTTCTCACTCTTCTTTACCCCCAAGACAGTTCATTCTTTTGGAAAAATTCATTAACCTACAGTAACACTATTCACCAGTGACAACTCTAAGAAAAAGCAGGCTCGTGTTTCTTCTTACAGACTATTCTCTTAGTTCTCTGAGAATTGCACACATTTTAGAAGAAAAAAATATCCTTGACTTGAGAGCAGTGCTTCTCATGTAAATGCTGCCTAGAAGTAATTCTGGCCTGTATTACAAGCTGATGGCCAAGGTTTTCACCCTGAAGCTGCAGGGTGAAGGGTAGAGAGAAACATAATTTACACCCCTCACACACTGTTGCACCATGCACTGTACTTTGAACATGTAGCTCTCTAATCTTCTAAATTACCCTGCAATTAAGGGAAGGGAAGTGATATTTATTTTACTACGTACTCTGCTTTGTGCTAGGCACATTGACCATCTAATCTGTTTGCAATTCTAAGGACTGGACATTTGTGTGTGTGTGTGTGTGTGTGTGTGTCTGAGTGTGATCATTTATTTTATAGATGAAGAAAGTGAGGGTTGAGGATTGACTAAGTAAACTACAGATCCAGGGTTTAAACCCAACTCTACCCATACCGAAACTTACACTCTTTTGACTTCATTACAATGTCACTGTAAATAAAGAACAAGCAAAGACTTTTAGAAGTGTGGACTGCTCTTCCATAGTTCCTAGATCCATGGGATTGCTCAGCTTAGGGGTCTAGGAGCAGTCTAGTATGGCAGCTAAAACTGTGGACTCTGAGTCAATCCAACTGTGTTTATAATAATTCCTGCCTCAACTGGGAGTTATAATCAAATCCTTTAACCTGTCAGAGCCTCAGTTTCCTCAGCTGTAAAATGGGAATAGCAATAGTATTGCTCTTATAGGAATAATGTGAGGAATCATGGGACATCAGCTTAAACGTTTTAGTGTAGTGTCAGATACAAAACAAGAGCCCAGCAAATGCTAATAATTGTTAATAATGTTAGTATGATTAGAGTCAAGCTCCTTTCACTGAAAGGGATAGACATCACTCAATTCAGATCACATGATTAGGGCGGGGTTGCTGCAGAGCTGTGGGGAGCAGCCTGGAAGGTTGGACCTCGAGGTTCCTTTGCCCATCTCCCTGGGGTGCATGTCATCCTCACATCTGCATCTCTCAGATCTGGGTCACCCTTCTCTTGACCAGTGTCCTCTGTTTACTCCCCTTGCTCTATATCCAATAAGGCTGCCTAAGGCCTGAGTCTACGTACCATGTTATCCTCAGTACCTGCTATCAATTACGGATCGATTTCCAGGATGTAATTTAAAATTAATGAGAGCATCTGATTAGTCGAAGACCAGCCAATACATCGACATCTTCAGTCTGGGGTTTGCTGCTGTGTTGGATGAGGTTTACTCTCTGCTCTAGGGACTGGCTCCCCATGAAAGGGCTAAGGGTGAGGTGAGAAGTAAAGTATCTAGCACAGATATATGAATTATTTCTTTCAGTGTGTTCTGGAATCTTCTATTTTCTTTTTTCCTGTCCTTCAACCTATTCCTCACTTTAACAATTAATTGGCTTATTGAAAGATAAGAATTTGAGGTAGTATCTAAGGTATGAAAACCATTTCCCCAGAAATGATGACAAGCAGAGAGGGTATTTGCATATGTTTGGGCTTTTACTAGAAGGACTGACCTGTGCTTTAAGGCTTAAGTGACTTCGTTGGAACATTAGACTCTGTACATTGTCTGGGCAGACCTCATAGGTGATTCTTGGTTTCTGTCTGTCTCTTAAGACTTTAGACATAATTGCTGATATTTTTCATTAAAGAAGAATTTTCTTGGAGAAAATTACTTTCTTATCGTTTTGCCTTTTTCATTACCTGAAGGTCATTGGCACATTCTGAATCCTGAATTTTGTCTTTCAGTTTCAGGACCTAATTCCCTGATTGAGATTAGAGGGTAGAGCATTAGAGAATAAACTATGGGAGGTTAGCTGATATTTCCAAAATTCAGGAGTGACCGATTAAGGAGCTCCAGTTTTTTATCTTAAAGGAAAGGAGCCAGCCATGTGGCTAATCCTAAATCTTAAACTAGGATTTTCTATTTCCTTCTATACCCACTAGGCTATGTTGAAATGGCAGCAGCAATTTTGATCTTTAGAATTCTGCTACTAAAGGACATTTGAATCTCTGAAGCCCCAGAAATTATGTTTAGTTATGCTTAGATTCAGCATCATCATTAAGAACTTGGGCTTTGAAGTTGGAATTTCTGGGATTGCATTTTCACTCCACAGTTTATCAGCTCTGTGACTTTGGGGAAGTAGCCCATCATTTCTATATCTCATTTTTCTCATGTTTAACATGAGGATGATAATGTGTCCATGGTAAGTGATAACATGTGCCAGTTTAGTTTTGATTTGTACACTGACCCATGCCTGGCATGCAGTGAGTTCTCAGTAACCATTAACTGAGGTTTGTACTATTATGAACGTCATTCAGCACAGCTCTGGGGAGTTTCTACTCCTATTGAAAAATTGTTTATTATAGTACACAATTTCACATCTGTGGCTTTGAATAGAGATGACACCATTCGCCCTGTCCCCTGCCACCATTAAAGGCACAAACCTGTTTCCAGCCACAGACTTCACTGAGTGCTGTGGCCTCTGAGAAACTTCCTTCAGATGTAAGGAAAATGTCTTCCTGTGCCTACTGCCTAGTGTGTTTGTTGCTTTGTGAAAATAAGAGATAAGGAGTTTTTTCTCCATGGAGCTTTGACTGTTAATTTTAAGCTCACCCATACCAACCTTATTAATACACATAGCTGATTTACTTTGTTCTTTCTTTTTTTAAGTCTGTGCATTCCCTGTTTGTTTTTCATTAGCTGTCTTAGTCCATGTTGCTATAAAGGAATAGCTGAGGCTGGGTAATTTATTAAAAAAAGAGGTTTATTTGGCTCACAGTTTTGCAGGCTGTGCAAGAAGCATGGTGCCGGCATCTGATGAGGGCCTTGGGCTGCTTCCACTCACAGGCAGAAGGTGAAGGGGAGTCAGCGTATGCAGAGATTACATGACAAAAGAGGAAGCAAGAGAGAGAATGAGGAGTTGCCAGGCTCTTTTTAACAACCAGCTCACATAAGAACTTAACAGAGTGAGAACTTCTGAACCCCCTCCCAGAGAGGGCCTTAGTCTATTCAGGAGTGATCCATCCCCATGACTCAAGACACCTTTCACTAGGCCCACCTCCCAACACTGGCACAATGGGGATTAAATTTAACATGTGATTTAGAGGGGTCAAGCTTCCAAACTATTGCATTAACCTTTAATAAATTAGCTTACATTTACAGAATGTTTGCTACAAATTAGCCACTGAGGTAAGGATGCTTTAGGCTTTATCTCATTTAATTCTCTCCAGAGAACTGTGAGGAAGGTGTTAGTATTGTCCTTCTTTGCAAATGCAGAAACTGAAGCTCAGAGAGATTAAATATCTGGCTGATCTGGAACTTGGTCATAGTCAAATACTCACGTCTTTGCCCCTTTCCATACTCCCTGTTAATAGTACACATATGCCTGCTGTAAACCTTCCCAACCTTTTAGGAAAGAGGTGGCTTTATGTACTTTTCACCAAAATAACAGCACAGTCATTTGATTTTACTGCCACTTCTACTTTCCATCTTTCTGTTCCTCTACATTCCTGCTTCTCCTCCATGTTCGTCCTTTCTCCTGCTCTTTGTTTCTTGGAGGAAGTCTACAATGACACATGACAAAAAGAGGCAGAGCCCCCACTGCCCTGAGTATGTGCCATCCCTGCTAGTTGTCATCTGACCTCCTGGCACCAGTTGCTGTGTCCACCACCTCTCACTTCTCCAAAGAAATGCTCATCAGTTCTCCCAGAAATATTTTAGTTGACCAAGGAAATGGTAATAACATTATCATGGCACAGGTATTGGTGAAAATGTGGAAAGAGCCAAAAACCAGAGAGAGATTTAAAGCTGGAATTTTAGTTTTCCAGGTTTGAGGGCCAGACTGACTGTCACATAGATCAAAGTTTGATCCAGTGATTTTTCAGTTATTTGGCCTTGGTCAAAATTCTTTACCTGAGTGATGGGAATGTCAGCAATGCCTGCCTGGAAGCCTTGAGGGGCGCCAATAAGATGATTATCTGAAGAGGCTGTCACAACTCCACACATGCTATTCCCTCTGCACCCCTTAAATGTTGAGGGGCACTTTCTCTGGGATGCAAACTCCATTATCTTTGTATTATAAAAACTCAGGATATTAACTCAAAGGTGCTGGATAAAGCACAGCACTGGATCACCAACTGTATGCACTTGGTCAAACTGCTTGCCTAGTAAGCTTTAGTTTCTTTGTCTATTATGTGCCTAGAATAGAATATTGCACAACCTACTTATGCAAGGCACTTTAGAAAGCCCCCTTGACATGGTTAAAACGTAGTATTTCTCTTTGGTGTCACCAAGAAATGTATGCAAAAGTTTTTTCTGATACTCTTCATACCATTCCATCTCTCATCCTGTCTCAGATTCCCATCCTGTGTATGTGTGGAAAAGGGGAGACAGGGTGAGTGGAGGTTATTAACTATGAAGTAAGGCTCAGGAATAGGGAGAAGATCTCTCTTTTTTTTTTAAAACACAATTCAATAGTAAATCAAAACTTTGCTGTGCAGAAGCCTTTTAGTTTGATGCAGTGCCACTTGTCTATTTTTGCTTTTGTTGCTTGTGTTTTGGTGTCACATCTGAGAAATCATTGCCAAGACCAATACAAAGGAAACCATCAAAAGTGAAAAGGCAACCTACAGGATGGAAGAAAGTATTTGCAAAATGACATATCTCATAAAAGGCTAATATCCCAAATATATAAGAAATGAACTCCTATGGCTTGATAGCAAAACCCCAAATAACCCTATTTAAAAAGTGGGCAAAGAAATGGAAGAGATATTTATCCAAAGGAGATATACAAATGGCCAATATGTATATAAAAAGGTGCTCGACATCACCAAAAATTAGGGAAATGCAGATCAAAATTACTATGGGGTATAACCTCACATCTCTTAGGATGGCTATTATCAAAACATAGAAGATAACAATTGTTAGTGAGAACATGGAGAAATTGGAACATTTATATGCTGTTGGTGGGAACGTAAAATGCTGAAGCCACTATAGAAAATAGCATGGAAGTTCCTAAAAAAATTAAAAATAAAACTACCATATGATCCAGTAGACCCACTCCTGGGTATATAGCCAAAGGAAATGAAATCTGGATCTTGAAGAGGCATGAGAGCTTCCAAGTTAATTGCAGCACTATTCTCAACAGCCAAGACATAGAAGTAACCTAAATTGTTCATCAATGGATGAAGGGATAAAGAAAATGTGGCATATACAAACAAAGAAATATTATCCAGCCTTTAAAAAGGGAAATTCTACCATTTGCAACAAAATGAATGAATTTTGAGGCCATAATATTATGTAAAATAAGCCAAATGCAAAAGGACAAACACTACATGATTTCACTTATATGAGATATCTAAAAGTCAAACTCAGAAACTGAGTTGATGGTGGCCAGGGAAAGGGAGAGGGGGAAATGTGAAGTTGTTCAATGAGTACAAAATTTCACTTATGCAAGATGAATAAATTCTAGAGATCTGCAGTAAAACATTGTGCCTACGGCCAATAATACTCCATTGTGTGCTTAAAAATTTGATAAGAAGGTAGATCTTATGTTAAGTGTTCTTACCAAAATAAAAACAGAAAAAAACCCTAAAATATTAGCGATTACTTTAAAACATTAAAAAATATCTCCTTGTCAAAATAGCAGTATTGAAGATGTTGCAACAAAGTCAGCATAATAGCTATGCTCTGTCCATGGATCCAGTTTATAGGGTTGTATGAAGATATGAGAATAAAATGAGACCACCTGTGGTACAAAGTGTCACAGCAACTGCGAAATGTTTTTGTTGTAAGCAGTGTGCCTTTGCTTGAAAAATACTGTCATTTGAAACCCACTACCATGCAATATCCTAACCTCTCTAAGTTGACTGGTAAATTGATTCCATACAAGAGGGGTGGCAGGATATGGAGAAAATTAATACGTGCCATATGGAATAAGTCAAAGACAGCTCCTGTGAGGAGGTGAGCCAGGTTTCCCAGGTAGTGATCAACATGGACTAGCAGAGACAAGGGGGTGAAGAGCTCTTGGGGCTGGAGGTGGACCTGGCAAGCCCCGGGCAGGACCTGAGCATCTGATCGTTGTACTCTTCTGCTGCTGGCAGGAGCGCCTTTTGCTTTTTGTGAGAGAATATGAATGAGTTCTATTAGTTCAGCTACGTGGGAAGAGCTCTCATCCTGCGATCAATCTCCACGCTGTCAGCAGGCAACGGGGATGTTTGAAGCAGATGGGCAGCCAGCCCCTCTCTGTCTATCCGCCTCTGCCTTCATAGTCAAGAACCGAAAGACATACCCTTCCACAAATCATCTGCCTGGCCACACCCACATGGAAAAATTGGAGCGTTTTCTCTTTTCATGATTATTTTTTTCAGCCATTCACACTATCATGTTTTGTAAGCACCCTTAGATTTCAGAGAGTAAATCATTAATATCCAATTTGGGAAAGTCAGTGGTATGTAACAGCAGCATTGGCAAAGCAAATGGAAAGTGGAAGGCTATGAGCAGGGTATTAATTATCCTGTGCCGCAGACAGAGTGCAGGCAGGTGTTTACGGGTTCCATCCAGCCAGCTGCCATGGCTGTGCTGGCTGTAATCAGGGAGATTCATGCCTGTGGGGCACATCTTCGCGTTCTCCGCTGAGCAGCCCCCTAACTTTGCATTATGTTTACTGCAAATTCAGAAAAAACCGAGTCTCTCTTGCTTACGCTAGGTGAAGGGGATAGAGTCTTAGAGAACCACATGTCTTCCCCGCGGGCAGGTTTCATTAGAATGACCATTCTGAACATGTCTCAAGCACACACTTATGGGAAAATGAGAACAAACATCACTAAGGAATTCCATCAAATGGATCTGGAATGGCGGTCTCCCCCGCTTACATGGGGATCACTAAATGTATTCTCAATGAATGAATAGTAACCTATATATGAAATGTTGAGAATTTAAAAAATCGACTCTGAGATAATTGGTATCCTCACATCTTTTATCTTCCAGTCTGGACCTGTTGATTCTCAGTGTTTTCCTAATCCTGCTAGGCTCCCTGGCAATTTTTATTCTCATTTCAAACATTTAACAACTGCTATTGTTATTAAAGATGCTTTGTGTGTAGCATTCTTTTGATGTTATTGTGCTGAAAGACCTCTTCCACCACAGTAGGGGTGGGGAGAGGCAAGGCCACAGGGGGCCCTGGGGAAAGATCCTGCTACTCTGCCGTGAGAAGTCTCTTGGGCTTAGGAAGTGGGAGTCATGAAGACCATCCCAGGGATGGTGATGAGGCTGTGTCTTCCTGCTGGCCCTGGGCGGACCTGGCTTTATAGCTGTGTGAGTTGAGGTTGGCCAGTTTTTTTTTTTGCCAGAGACAGGCTGCTGTCCCGGGAGATGGACTTGAGGGTCTGGTACAGGGGTGGCCGGCTCCCATTTTTAAGGGAACCTACTCTCCTTTCAGCCATACCTTCATTAGGCCTGCAAAGGCAAACTCCTATGCAGTGAATAGTTGGGTGAACACCTAGACATGGCATTTATAGCGTTGCTGCACTGCATTACTTGACAGTGGCCTGTGTATTTAGAAAAACAAAACAAGCAAAACAGAACAAAACCTCTCTGGGTTAACAGGATGTACACTCCTAGAATGAGGATCACAGTCTTAAATGAAGCAATATCCACATGTGTAGCTACATGCACACACATCTTTTTTTAATTTATGAATTTACTACTTTTATTAACAGTTGTAAAAATAATCTTATATGAGTGGAATAATTAGTAATTTATTTAACTATAAAGGAATTTTTAAATGTCAGCTAAATACTTCTTCAACACAATACATGTTAGTGCCCAAAATATTTCTACAAAATCATGACAAAAAATTCTGAACGATAGTAATAGGATAGAGTCTCTTTCTATCTTTTTTGACTTGAAAATAAACTTGTTTTTTTCTATTTTTCATTGTAATAAGACATACATAAAATTTAACATCTTAATCATTTTAAGTGTACAGTTCAGTAGCTTGCAACAAAGCTCCAGAAATCTTTATCTTGCGAAGATGAAACTCTGTACCCATTAAACAGCAACCCTTTATTGCCCTCCCCTAGACCCCCTGACAACCACCATTCTGCTTTCTGTGCCTATGGTTTTGACTACTTCAGGTTCCTCATATGAATGGAATTATATAGTATGTGTCTATTTTGCACACACATCTTGTTTCTGTTATCCACTTCAAGAACAAAGTGGTATTTTCTGACTTAACCTGGCATAGGATAAAAAGTATAATATGATTTTATTTCCTTTCTTTCTGTATTTTCTACTCCGTCTCTCCCTTCCCCATCACATTTCTTGAATTTGTTCAAATAGTTTGGGTCTTTAGATTGAGATTATCATTAACACATTTATTTCTTTGTAATAATAATAGCCAACCATATCCAGACACTGGTCTAAGCATTTTATGTTTAATACTCAAAACAAGATTTACTTTTGACTTTCAGCTTTGTAATCCTATTAACAATAATTCTTTGGAATTATTGTTCTACTGATTTTATTCTTCTTGTATGCCGCGACATTCCCAGTTCTGATTTCCTGGTTTCAGTTCAACTTTTGGCCATGTGGAGTGTGCCTATTTTCAGAAAGTATGAGACATACAACAAAGAGATTTGGGACGGCTGAGACTTTCTGTTGTCCTCATATATGAATGGAAGCTCATCAGAATCTTTAGTCTTAAAAATCACGTAGCATTAATTCATTGTTTTAGGATTTTAGGGAAGAAGTCATCATCCAGTCTGGTTTTTGTTCCTTTAAAGTAGTATGTTTTATCTTTAGATGCTCACAATTTTTTCTTTAGTTTTGAAATTAAAAAACAAAAAAGGTCACTAGGATAGTCAGGTGTGGTCATTGTTTTATTATTTTAGCCTTTCATTCAGGGATACCTTTTGATTTTCTGACTCAAGTTAACATTAAACAGGCAGATAGTTGGCATTTTCCCACATGAGTATAAAGGAGGGAGAGAGGTAAAAGAGATGAAGACCCTGTCAGGGAGTAGTTATAATCATGAACTATGGGAACCAAGTTGGGCCAAGCAGATAGTGAGACAGAGGGTGGGGGTAATGGATAATGCCACAGTGGAGGGAGTCACTGGTTAGAGGCCTTGATGAGGATAAACAATTTCTTCACTGGGAATGCTAAAGTGAAGAACTGGAAGACATGAAGGACTGCTGAGAGAGTGGAATACCTGAAATTGAGATTGTGTCATGGTCCTGTTTTATGCTTCTGGGATGGTGGGGGTGGAGATGGGATGGAGTAGGGGATGGTGTGGAGGTCGAGGAACCAATAGGCTAGATGGGATCTGGGATATGTTATCCATTCGGATGTTAGATTCATCACGAGGATGTTGAGAGTAGAGGTGGAGAGATACATTATGATTCTGGCAGTCTAGAAGGAGTGCAGGGTGTGACTGGGAGATCAGGAAACAATATGCTTGGGAGAGGTGGACAGCTGCAGGGCATGGCCTCTAAGCAGGGTGGAGAGGAGACTATTTGGAAGCACAGTGGAGGGTGCGGCGAGGAGGACACCTACTCCTGTCTCACTGGGAGAGGTGAGAGGAAAAGCCAACAGCCTCAGCTTGACAAGGCTTCAGGTGAGGCAGTGGCCCCAGGGCACAGCTGGGTTAAACAAGAGGAAGAGGAAGTTTATGGGGGAGGGGATCTTTCTGGCTATAGTTCATGTGCTCCAGAGAGTATAGTTCAAGGGTGGGGTGGGCCAGAGTTGCAGATGTTAAGACCAATATAAGGGTGATGACCTGGGAGGTGTTAGATGATCAAGAAAGTGAGATTTTGAGTAGTCACAGAGGTAAACAGGGGCAAAAAGGAGGCAGGGCGGGTTTCATGGATGCATGACCTGTGCAAATCACACAAGTCTCCGTGATTAGAAGGGCTCCATGCTTGGTTTAATGCTCTGCTGTTACCTTTTTACAATTCTTAATGTTTTTTGAATAAGGAGCTCTGTATTGTCATTTTTCTCTGGGCCCCATGAATGATAATTTGGTTCTGGGAAAGGGTTTAGTTGTGACTGTCCTTCGAAGGGGAGTGCAGTCCCCACACTGGCTGATTGCTTGGGGTTTCCCAGGTCTCTGTCCCTGCTCAGCAATGCTGGTGCAACCTATTTTTGTCAATCAACTGTCCTAAGAACCAGCCTCACTTCCTTCCCACGCATCTCCCAGTTAAGAGTATTTGAGGGCGTCTTTTATTCTCTCTGTGGCTAATTGGTGGAAAGGAATGGGGCATATCAGTCTTTCTTCAATTCAGACTGTTCTATAAGATATCTTATAGAAGTTCCTAAAAGTTTCTAACATGAGAATGTCCCTATTTCTTTGTTTCCACCAGTGATAATAGGTTCTCCTCTAATATTATATATACTTTGGCCACTTAATGAGGACTGGGGGCAACAAGGAAGAAGAACTATAGTTATATCTGATCAAACTGCCACTATAAGAGAAGATTTTTATTTCTGTCTCTCCTTTTAAATGGGATAACTCTTTTTAACAAATCAGGGCATATATCCTTGTCTTCCAAGTCCTTTTTGCTTTGAGAGACATTTGTGTCATTAGACATAGCAGATAGCTGAGTATATTACTTAATTTTGGTAAGTTGCCAGTGCTTATTGCTACCCAACTATTAATGCAAGGATACAGAACTATTGACTACATGAAAATCAATTCAGGGTTGACCTAGTAGCAACTTATGTAGTATCAATAGTTTACTTCCTCCTGAAAAGAAATTACTTTGTCTTTCTTTTCATTTTTTTCTTTATAACCTCTATTGACCACACACTCTTCCAAACACCAACATCATCCATCTATTGCTGTATTTCACATTAAGTGTGTGAGGAAAAAAAAACCTCAACATAGCAGAGATTAGTTTCCGTGCATTCAAAATGAGATCTAAATAAGCAAGACCTATGAGGAAAATGACCTTATTTATCTTGTTCATTCTTCACATTTTATTTCACTTAAGGAAGAAAAAATTCAAATTCTTTTTGCTTTCTGACATGCAGTGTGGCCTGCATAGCCCATGACAGTTATGTATGTGAAGAGGAGGATGTGTGGGGGCTTTTGAATGTCATCAGCTCAGCCAAATACCAAAGCTTTCTGTTTATTTCAGCAGAGAGCGTGGATGCCTAATAAAGATGCTAGCAAAATATTAAACAAATGAGCCTACTATTGGAAGGGAATGGGGGTCAATGGAATTTATTACACATCTACTGTGTGTTAGCTGTCAGCTCGCTGCTTTCATTTGTCATCTCATTGGATAAAATGACAGCCCCATGTAATTTACTTCTCATTTCTTATATAGTCACTCACCAGCTAATGATGTTTTGTCAACTTCATACTGCATATATCAGTGTTTCCATAAGATTATAACACTGTATTTTTACTGTACCTTTTTAATGTTTTGATATGTTTAGATACACAAACACTTACCATTGTGTTACAGTTGTCTCTAGTATTCAATAAGGTAACATTACTATACAGGTTTGTAGCCTAGGAGCAATAGGCTATATACCATAGGCTATATAAATAGGCTATATACCATAGAGCCCAAGTGTGTAGTAGGCTGTACCATCTAGGTTTGTGTAAGTACACTCTGCGATGTTCTCACAGCAACAAAATCACCTAATTACGCATTTCTCAGAATATATTTGTGTTGTTAAGTGACACATGGCTGTGTAAGGAAACAGACACAGAGACACTAGGAATGTTGGTCCAGTGTCACAAATTATGGCCAAGCAGGTCTAGAAATAAAGCATGTGTTTTCTCCAGTTCTCTTATATTATACTCTGGATTCTGATATGTGGGGATTGAAGATCAAGTTCCATGGTGGAAATGGATGTTGAAGCAAGGTTTTTGGAGAGGTCCTCTGGCCATCTGGAGGGAGGTGTGAGCTTGAACACCCATGGGGAGAACACTTGGCATGTTGAAGGACTGCTGTTCAATCCATCCTGCCCTGCTGGTCTTCCCCAATATTTCTCTCCACTCCAGTTCCTATGTGTGTTTAACTTTCAGGCTTTGCTTGTGTTAAATGATGTGTGTCTCTGTGTGTGTGTCGTGGCTGCACAAAAATGAAAATATTTAGTATTTGGCAGATAAACATTTCATCCATGGGCATTAAAATTGTCATTCTCCAGCAGGAGTATGAACCCCAACCTCTGTCTTAACAACCTCTTAGGTTTTTCTTTGTGGATAAATGAGAATATTGAAGGAAAAAATATGTGTGCCTTGACTTTCTTAAAAGCTTGTTTTTTGTCCCCAGCAAATTCTCTTGGCTACTCTACCCTCTTGTCCATCCAGATCTCTAGGTCAGAGGGTTTGAAACCACACTTCTATTGCTGTGATTATCTCCCAGGCAGCCTCCCTCTGACCCAGGTGCACAATGGGGGATGAATCTTGGCATGTTGATGATGGTATTATCTTGCCAGTGGCCTTTTAACTCTGTTAGGCCTGGAATTGGTTAGAGGTCTTAGATTTGTGGGACAATTATAATTTTCTAATAAAACACCTGGCTTCAATACACGTGAGGCAGTTGCCTAATGTGTTGGAAATTCCACTTGCTGTTCAGAAAGGTTATATTTCCACAACATCCATTTTCCCTAACAGCTTAGAATTCTGTTCACCCTAACATTATGGGATATCTACCCACATAAAGGATATAAAACATATTACTTTTGCTGTCTGCACAAACTATCTTCTGAAGTTACAAACTAATGAGCTTCATTCCTTTCTCCCTTCTTTCCCTCCTTTCCTCAATACTAGTGAGCAAAATATTTATGCCAGAGCTAGCAATTCAGAGACTAAGAAGACCCAATGTGACATTAGGTAGGTAATAGGCATATAAAGTACTGATTATAACAAAATAAAAAATTATTACAGGTCAAAGGCATCAGAGAGAGTCCTACAAAAGATGTTCTCTTTGAGTAAAAGCTAGAGAAGTGGATATAAATTTTCCATGCTGAGAGGGCAGGAGAAAGGGCACTTCAGGTAGAAGGGGTCATGTGAAAGGGTTTGGCTTGGCTGGGAAAGAATATACTTGGGGCTCACTATTGCCTAAGAATATGGAGAAGAACAGCAGAAAGTGAGGTGGAAAAAATTGAGGGGCTATTGGAGGCCATAGATCTTAAATGGCATGGAGAGGAGTCTGAATGCTATCCTCTAGGTGATATGAGCCACTGACAGTTTTAAACAAGAGGTTTGCCATACGCAGATTTGTATTTTAGACTAAAACAATGAGGTGTCAATGGTGGATTGAGCTGGATGGGGATGAAAAGGGATATGAGGGCAGGAGAACAGAGCTGAAGCTATTTCGCAGGTCTAGCTAAGCAACTGCATTAGGTAACTGATGATGACAGTAAGGGGAAGCAGTATATTTAGGTGACATTGTGGAGACTGAGGGACAGGACTTGATTACTAATTGAGGTCTGGAGACATGGGAGGAATAAAGCATGAATAATAGTCCCCAATTTCTAGCTTGGACAACTGAGGCAGATGGTAGCACCCTTTAATAAGGGGAGGGAGATAAGAAGAGGAGTGGGTTTGTCCAAGGGATGGTGAGAAGGAGAAGGACATCTTAAGTCTGAGGCACTCCCCTTTTTTTAGCACTGGTAACATTCAATGAAGAACAAATATACCCAAGGGAGAAGCTCGTGGAGTTTTCCCTCCATTTCCACTGACCCTCAAGGCTCACCAGCACACTGCTACATAGAGAGATATGGCATCTTGAGTTCTTCACCTTAACCAATGCAGGCAAAGTTAATCAACAACATTACAGATCCATCAGAGGCAGCAAGGCGGTGTTTGTGGCTCAGGCTGAATGACCAAGGCAAGCCAGAACTTTCTCTAATGCAGTGTGACACTGGTGTCAGGCCAAAGCTTGCTGTTAATAAATTTCAGCATTGCCCCTAAGTCACAATCACACAGTATGCAAAAAAAGCTACCTACAAGCAGCTTCTAAACCCAAGCCGAGTGCTCAGAGCCATTAGGTGAACTCTCTCTTGATGATGATTTGCATTTCTCAGTGCCTGGCATTGCCACCACTGATTAGAGGACTGACAATGTCCTGGCCAAAATGTTCTCTTGGGGAGTCACTCTGCGCCTGTCTGGGTAAATAGATGTGGGGAGCGAGATAGGCAGATATGGGCTGCCTGGCCAAACACAGAAGATATAGCACGGAAACTCTAAAACTTTGTTGAACCAGAACACAGCATGAGGAAGAAACACATTTTCTGCTAATTATAAGCTCTGTTTTATGCAAGGAGCTTATATTGGCCAACTCTTTCAAGAATGCTTAAAGTATGTGCAGAAAGCAGTCCTAGGACTGATAAAATGCCCTGTGTTGTGTTCAACCACTTCTTGGGGGTCAGAGAATGTGATAGAAAATAGTTATTTTGTGCCCCCTATCTGAAATCATTAAGCAAGTTTCTGGAGGGCCATCCTGTGCTTGGCAGGTCCTGCAGTCTCCCATTGGCAAAATCTGGGGAGGAAGCTGAAAAGAAGAGGCATGAATCATGGGTCAGGCAAGTTCAATCCCCACTCTCTGAAACATGGAGCCCCACCAGCTCCCCATGATCCATGACATCCCTGCCTGTCCTCTGCACTCATAGTTACTAATGAGAAAGGAAGCTTTGCAGTTGACCGGCCCAGGGCCAGCACAACCCATCAAATTTTATCTGTATTCTCTGTGTAAGGAGAAAATTACCAAGCACAAATCCAATTGAAGGAAGGAGCAATTAATGTGGAACATGCACAGCTAAATAAGCTATTTAAATGTATGGCTACAAATTCCCAGGTCTGCCCATTTGGAGGGGGGCCAGCAGCAGAGCCCCCATCAAATGTTCCAGGACTGGCTGCCAAGCAGACAGCTAAGTGCAAAACCCCAGAGAGGAGAGAGGTTGTCAGGAGATGTTTATGACATATCTTTATGAAGAACTTGTGAGGCTCCATGGTGGAGGGCTCCAAAGATGATCCAGGTGGACAGGTAGAATGCTGGAATTTAGGGAAGACTTCATCATTCCCCAGTTCCCCAGATGGAGTTTAATTTGGCCAGAAAGTGTTTACAACAATTTGTAAACTGAACCTGAGCATTAGCTTAGCCCAGCTTGGATTCTTGGTTTTTTGATTGCCTGGGTAGTCTCTGAATAGGCCAGTTATATTCATCCTAAATGTCAGGGGAAGCTAAAACAAAGCAGGCTCAAAAACGTAATGTTCTTTTTTCCTAGAAACCTTTAAGTTCATGTCATATTGCATGATATAGGGATATCATGCTATTTGTAGTGATATTCGACTTTGAGTAAAAGTTGGAAGGAGACTAGGAAATTGGCTGTCTTAGACTAGCGGAGACCACAATCACAACTGCTGACTTGGAAATTTTCCTAGATACATGAGATAAAGTAAATAGTTTTATCAGCTTCTTTCAGGAAATCCCTTGAAGTTCATGAATTTTGCTTCCTTTATTCTAGACTAAGAATCTGTCATGTTATTAGAGGGCACAATTTTTCAGATCATGGCTTTTCAGATTATTCAAAATCAAGGAATCTCTGTATTAAAAAATTATTCAAAATATAGAAAATCTGATGATCCATTTCATGAAGTTGTCCTCTTTGATTCCTCACACAGCCCTGGATTCATCTGAGGAATAAACACACTGTTATAGAATTAGTACAAAATTATCATTAATAAAAGAAAACCCTGATTTGGAAATATTGCCTCACAATCTCCACATATGAAAAAGAAAATTTAAAAAAAAACTTAAAAAAAACCCAACAAAACTCCTGCCAGCTGTTTCTTATCTTTGTTTGGGAATCCTTTCCAGAAGTTTTTAGAGAGTAAAATGCATTGGAATGGAAGTCAAGAGGCTTTATCATTAACGTACAACCTTGGGCAAATCACTTAAGCTCCGGGCTTCCCTTCCCTCATCTGTGTAATGAGGTTTGATGGAGTGACCTCTAAGGGATGGTTTTCATCGCCTGACTATCTCTTACCAAATGTAACTACTGAAGGCTTAAACCTTGCTACTCAGGTGCTCATGGTGTGTCCTGGGACCAGCATCATCTGTGTCACTTCCCGGTGCTTGTGCAAAATGCAGTATCTCAGCCTGCATCCCAGACTTACTGAATCAGAATCTACACATTAAGAAGACCTCAGGTGATTTATATACACAGGAATATTGAGAAGCACTGATCTACAAGCTGAAGTCTCCTTTCTTTTGCACCCAGTGTTTTTGTTTGTCTCTACCAGCCTCCTTATCCTTTGCTGTGTTACTCTGGTACAGGCTCTGAGAACTGCTTCCAGCATTCTTGTTTCAAGGGCAGACATTACCAGATAATTATCCTATGATTATATGGTAGTTGATTTTCAGTTTTCAAGGTCAGGATTATGTAGAATAAATATAGTGCAAACACAACATTAGAGTTTTTAACCTTTTTTTATTCTACTGAAAGAGAAAATCATTTTCTCCTGAGCTTGCTGAGCCAGCTCTCTGCACAAACAGAGGCCCTCTCCTGTTATCAGTCATTGCTGGAAATGGGAGAGGAGGCTGCTGGACCACAATGGGTTTGGCTGCCATCAGAAATGGGACCTCAATTAGCCTGAGGACAGCACTCTTTTGCGTAATG
This sequence comes from Homo sapiens, assembly GCF_000001405.40. Taxonomy (NCBI): domain Eukaryota; kingdom Metazoa; phylum Chordata; class Mammalia; order Primates; family Hominidae; genus Homo; species Homo sapiens. The sequence continues at coordinate 83,936,076 of NC_000010.11, read as the reverse complement.
AGTTCAGATTGATATCAGGAATAATTTGTATAGGATGGGAAAAAAGAGGAGGAGGCCCAGGACCAAGAGGGGTTGGGACCGTAAGAGAACACTTGTTTTGGATGAGCGACTTTGCCGTATTCACAGAGTACGATAGCCAGACTGTCTAGGAAGACAGCTCTAAAATTGTGAGGCTTCCCACCTTATATCAGAGATCAGCAAACTATGGCTCTGCCAGCTGCCTGTTTTTGTAATAAAGCTTAATCGGATCACAGCCTTCCTCGTTCATTTACACATTGTCTATAGCTGTGTTCATTCCAACAGAGACCATATAGCTGCAACACCTACAATATTTACTATCTGGTCCTTAACAGAAGAAATTTTCTGACACCTGCCCCATAACCATTTTTATTCCTGAGTTTTAAATATTGTGGGGGGAGGGATCATGAGGGATTCCAGTTAAGATCAACAATTTTGATGAAACCTACCCTGCTGTACTGCACACTTTGTTCCTGAACAATAGTTGAGAAGCCCCACGGGCTTAAGGCCTCGGTAAAATGGCCTGCTGTTCTGATGAAATATCTAGCAATCCATCCTTCAAACACATTGAGCTTCTTCAGTCACACCTTACAGCCACCGCAGAACTTCATTTTTTGGTAACAATGCAGCATACAGCCATTTTCCCCCTCTGGTCTCTCCAGGTATACCCAATTACTGCTTTCTGAAGTTTAGGTATTCTTTGGTTACCTTGCTTACATTTGGCACAAGTCTAACTTCTACTTTCTGGCTTCTGGGCACTGTGTACCCAGCAGAGGTAGGGACATGGTGGTGGTTAGGGGGTGGGAGGTGAGCCTTGGAGCATCACCAGGTCCTATGGTCTGAAGGTTTGTGTCTCCCCAAATGCATATCCCCAAGGTAACAATGTTAGGAGGCGGGGCCTTTTGGGAGGTGATGAGGTTATGTGCATAAGTGCATGAATGAGATCACTGCATTTATAAAGAATGCCTGAAGGAACTTCTTTGCCTCTCTCACCATGTGAGGATGCAGCAAGAAGCCACAGTTTATGAGCAACAGACCCTCACCAGACACTGAATCTGTTGGCACCTTGATCTTGGACTACCCAGTCTCTAGATTGTGGGAAATTAATTTCTGTTGTTTATAAGCCACCCAGTTTATGGTGCTTTGCTATAGCAGCCCAAACGAACTAAGACATCAGGGAATCATGGAAAACAGCACTGCTGTGTGTCCTTCTGAATCACTTTGAGGTCACTCAGATCATAAGCCCAGAGCTCAGACCTCCTGTGGATTGTGTACACGGCTCTAATTGCAGACAGTTTGTGTCGATAAGAAGTCCTCGCTTTCCACTAAGGCTGCAAGAAACATTTAATATTTTAAGTAGAGAAAGAGCATCAAAATGGCACTAAAGGGAACTACAAAACTCTCTTTTTTTCTTTTTCTTTTTAAATTTAGAAGATAAAATATACAGTAGGTCTTTGAAATTCTAATTGTCAAAATTCCAGGGGATGTTACCTTGTTATGGTTTTATTAAAGTCAATTAAAAAATTGAAATTCTGTTACAGATATTTCTAGCTTTTTGGTTTAGACATTTTGATGTGAGCACTGGAAAAGATTAGGTGATCCCTCCTCTTTCTTTATGAAGAGCAGAGGGGGAAAGTGTTAAGACGACAACCTGGAGGAGACCGTGGATGGCAGGAATTATTTTCAATATTTCACTTTGCTGACTCCTGAATCTCAAAAGCCTTTAATATGCCATTGCCACAGTGTGAGGCAATTAAGAGTAGAAAGCAACCTTTCAATCATGGCTTGGGAAATTCCAGGTTGTACAGAGGCATTGAGTGGCTAAATGCCAGTAATTATATTATGATAAGCCTCCAGATTCAGATTCTCTAGGTCAAAAACAACAAAACTCTGATTAGTGCCAGGGACAAAGTCAAAGCAAAGTTAACTTAAATACAGTTGGCCTTCTTTTTGGGGGGCTCTACATCCACAGATAAAACCAACCGTGGGTCAGAAATATTCAAAAAATAAAAATTATGCTATTCTGAACTTGTACAGATTTTTTTCTTGTCATTCTTTTCTTTTTTTTTTTTGAGACGGAGTCTTGCTCTGTGGCCCAGGCGGGAGTGCAGTGGCGCTCACTGCAAGCTCACTCTCGGCTCACTGCAAGCTCCGCCTCCCGGGCTCACGCCATTCTCCTGCCTCAGCCTCCCAAGTAGCTGGGACTACAGGCGCCCGCCATCACGCCCGGCTAATTTTTTTGTATTTTTTTTTAGTAGAGACGGGGTTTCACCATGTTAGCCAGGATGGTCTCGATCTCCTGACCTCGTGATCTGCCCGCCTTGGCCTCCCAAAGTGCTGGGATTACAGGCATGAGCCACCGTGCCTGTCCAAATGTGGGACCTTCTAAGTGTGAGGCCCTCTGTGATGACACAGTTTGCACGCCCATGAGGCCAGTCCTGGCGGTGTCCCAATAAAATCTTATTTTCTCAAATAAGTGAAGAAATGGATTCAACCCAGAGGCATATTTGCTGACCCCTGCTATACAGGATCAAATAATAGCAAGTATCTTTGATTGAAAAAGAGGATTCTGAATAGATATATGCCTACAATTCTACTTCAGCCATGCTTCAATTTTCTCACATTTATATGCCATGGCTCAAAGTCCATATACTGGTCTTTGATTTAGAATAGTCCCTTAGGGAAGGGTGGTCCTGGCCCTAGAGGTTAGCAGACCAACAGCAATAGGCTCTTTTCTAAGTATTCCCAATGCTGCTCTGTATTAGGGACAGGACTAATTGGATAGATGTATATATGAAGGGGAGTTTATTAAGGAGTGTGGACTTACATGATAACAAGGTGAAGTCTCACAATTGGCCATCTGCAAGCTGAGGAGCAAGAAAGCCAGTCTGAGTCCCAAAACCTCAAAAGTAGGGAAGCTGACAGTCTGGCCTTCAATCTGTGGGTCTGTGGCTGCAACCTGAGAGCCCCTGGCAAACCACTGGTGTAAGTCCAAGAGTCCAGAAGCTTAAGAACTTGGGAGTCTGATGTTTGAGGACAGGATGCATCCAGCGCAGGAGAAAGATGAGGGCTGGAAGACTTAGCCAGTCTAGTCCTTCCATTATCTTCTGTCTGCTTTATTCTAGCCTTGCTGGCAGTTGATTAGATGGTGCCCACCCAGACTGAGGGTGGGTCTTCCTCTTCCACTTCACTGACTCAAATGTTAATCTTCTTTGGCAACACCTTCACAGACACACCAAGGACCAATATGTTGCATCCTTCAATCTAATCAAGTTGACACTCAATATTAACCATCACATGTTCCTACCTGGTTGCTTCTGGGAAGACGAAAGAAGCCTTTTTGTTTTTGTTCATTTTTACTCCAGGTAACTTTGTGTTGACTTTCCCTGGAAGTGTCCTTGACTTCTGAAACACCCTCAAAGACCACTTTTGAAATAAACACACAATGATCTTTTCAGAAGCCTGCCAGCCTTTGATTAGCTCTTGCTTACTTTCTAAGAACATGTCTTGTCACTTTTGAGTTTTCAGGGAGGCCTTTGTAGTGTCTGGAATATTATTTTTTGTATGTGTTTCACTTCCCCAAATCAGGACTGGGCTCCTGGTGAGTCCCTGAGCTGGGCCTGCTGGTTTCCGTCTCAGCCTGCTTTGTTCTCTCCAGCAGGAGAGACCTCAGCCCTTTCTGATGCTGATCTTTCTCCAAGTGGCTGCAGAATTTTAAAAACTCCATGGTGACATTAGTAAGGCTACTACCTGGAGAAATGATTTGGTCTGTATAATTGGAAAGAACACCTGATGCTTATTCGCATTGCCTATCTTTGGGATTTGCTTTTATATTTGAGGCAAGACATGGATTCCTCTGATGGATTCAATGTGATATGGGAACATTGAACAAAAACATGTGCTAATGGGAAGCTCCAAGGTACACAGCTTCTGCGAGGCACATAGTTGTTAAGTAGAGTTCATACCAGGCCTGGGTTGATCTATCCACGCCTGGGAGAATGACCTCCAACTTGTCTCCTCAGCCTGATTCTCTTAGAAACTATAGATTCAGGGTAAATTTCGAATGTTATATCTGCTTTGTCTGCAGTGGGGAACTGTGCTTGGCTTGGGGAGCTATGAGCTGGCCAGCTCACATCTGTGCGACTAGAAAGTTTCGTGAGAAACAGCATGCAGCCCTTTTGCATCAAGGTCACTCCCACACAGCTTGGTCCTTGTCCAGGACAGTGGCACCTGTGCCATGCCAGTGAGGAGGTAAAGGTAGTTGCTCAGCCTCCTGATGAGTTGAGTACTTGCCACATCTCTTGTCTGGTGTCCTTGAATTACCCTGTCAGTCTAGCATTAGATTAAAGCCTATTGTGTCTCCTAGGTCTGATAGCCAACCTGAACTTATAATAACCACTGTGGTGGTAGAATTAACACTGACCACCTTTAGAACTAGCAGAGCATTCTGGTTAAGCACTTGAACTTTGAGTTTGATGACCTGAGTTTGAAAACTGACTCCATCACTTACTTGCTCTATCTCATTGGAGAGGTTATTTTACTTTTGACCCAGTCTCCTCATTTGTAAACTGGGAGTGGATAGAAGGGGTTAATAGATGATGGATCATAGAGCAATGACTAGCACAGAATGGGGTAGATGGAGCTGCTTAGTGAGTATAAGTTACTACAGTTATTACTGAGAATAGCCTGTTTCATATGTGAGGTTTCTTGTCAAGATTATCTTCATCATTGTCACATATAAATGAAAGTTTGGATTGATACAATAGTCTTTATTCATTCATTTATCTTAATAAATATCTAATAATAGTATTCTATATATATATTTTTTCTCCTTCCTGGCCTTTGTTTTTATGTATTCTATATTTTCATGCTGATTTCTGTATTATAGTTTTCCTAGAACCCAGTGAATCACTTAATTTTTTCCTTCCATATCTACTGGGGTATCATTGACAAATAAAAATTGTATCCATTTAAGGTGTACAATGTAATGTTGCATTTTAACTTTCAATATCTATTCTTTTTTAATTTCTGGAATTTTTCTCCACTGATACGTTTTGATAATGATTCTATTCCAACTGACATAT